>NC_000015.10:90380672-90532187 GCF_000001405.40 Homo sapiens
ATACTTGTTACCCAGTTGCAAAGTCGGTTCCACATTTTCAGGTATCTTTATGGCAGTGCCCTACTCCTTGGTACCAATTTTCTGTGTTGGTCCATTTTTGCATTGCTAGAAAGAAATACCTGAGACTGGGTAATTCCTTTTCCTTTTTCTGAGACAGAGTCTTGCTCTGTTACCCAGGCTGGAGTGCAGTGGTGCAATCTTGGCTCACTGCAACTTCCACTTCCTGGGTTCAAGTGATCCTCCTGCCTCAGCCTCCGGAGTAGCTGGGATTATAGGCACACACCATCACACCTTGCTATTTTTTTTTCTTTTTTTAGTAGAGATGGGGTTTCATTGTGTTGATCAGGCTGGTCTTGAACTCCTGACCTCAAGTGATCCACCCACCTCTGCCTCCCAAAGTGCTGGGATTATAGGTGTGAGCCACTGTGCCTGGCTGAGACTGGGTAATTTATAAGAAAAGAAATTTAATTGGCTCACGGTTCTGAAGACTGTACAGGAAGCATAGTGGCATCTGCTTCTGGGGAGGCCTCAGGAAGCTTCCAATCATGGTGGAAGGTGAATGGGGAGGAGGCGCATCACATGGTGAAATCAAGAGTGAGAGACAGAGTGCCACACACTCTTAAATGACCAGATCTCATGAAAACTCACTCCCTATCACAAGAACAGCAGCAAGGGAATGGTGCTAAACCATTCAAGAGAAAACCGCCCCCATGATCCAATCACCTCCCACCAGGCCCCATCTCCAACACTGGGGATTATAGTTCAACATGAGATTTGGATGGGGACCAATATCCAAACTATGTCAACAATTGTGTTACTTCTCCATCTACTTTTCTCCTGGTAGCTGGCTAGTTTCTCTTAACACTGATTGTAAGACCTATCCTGATTTCAGAGGCATTTAAATATAAAAAAAATTGGGACTTATTTCTTGAAAATGTTGTACTTACTAGACAGTAAGACTTATTTCTGAAGATACCTGGTTTCTAAAAGTACTACTGGGAAATATAATAAATGAGGAAGTGATTAATTTTGCCTGGGGAGTAGGTGACATTTGAATTGGGTCTGGGAGGTTCAGTAGGAGTTTCCCAGGCAGATAATAGGCTAAAAGGTATTCCAAGCAAGGGAAACTTCTATTATGGTGCTTATCTCAAGATATCCTGTTAATATTGCTTGACTCCTCCTGGCTTGTAAATTCTTTGTGGTCATTAACCAATTTTGACTCCCAAAATGACCATTTACCTCATTATTTTGCCGTTTATTCATTTCATATTTACTAATTTTATTCATATTTATATTTGCTGACAAAATAGTATTTCCAGCAGCTCATTTTAAATACAGACAAGCAAGCAAGCAAACCCCACACAAATCCAGTGTAATAGCACTGCCTGGAGAAGCCACTGTTAATATATTGGTGTATATACTTCAAGGCTTTATCTATTCATATGCACATATCCATCAATGTATCTATCTATCTAGCTACATTTAAAACAAAATGGTATCATATTTATTAGTCATAATTTGATATATTAACTTAACCACAATATTAAAATATTGTACTGCCAGCCTGTACATTTTTTGCCTGCCCAGCCTCCCACTGAAGGAAATTATGCCCAGCTCATAGTTCTCTATGCTTAATTATCTGTATCTCCTGATCATAGTTGATTGAAGTAAAGGATCAGCATCCAATCTAAGGGCAGCCTGCCTGTGGGTGGTCAGAGATTTACCCACAGGGTGGAAAGCTGAGCTGGGTCAATCATATGCCACTCTATGGGTTATGGAGTTAGGCAATTGAGATGATCCTCAATGGAGCTGATGATGTAAGGATACCATGACCTTCAGTCAAAGCCATGGCAAGGCAAGCAGAAACAAGAGTTGTGAGGGAACAGAAAAAATTAAATGGAGTAAGCTGGTTAGCAAAGAGTGGAGAGTAGAGCCAGCCTGTGGAAAAGCAGAGATGCCCAGAGAATGAAACCATGACTTCAAGCTTTCATTAGTCCTGTTTTTTTTTGTTTAGTGTAGTTTTGTTTTTGGTGCAGTTCCAGTCCATATAGGTCTGTATAAGAAAGGCCTCCCTTCCAGCCTTTTTTCCTCTAGAAGTAAAACTGTGCATGTCTGTTTCCTGTAGCCAGTCAAGCCTGACCAGACCACAGATCATCACTGTTCATGGCTATATGGCATTCTATTGTGTATAGCTGCCATCACTGATTTAAACACCTACTGATGGACATTTGAGTAATTTCCAAGGAGCATCTTCATGGATAACTTTTGCACATTTAATAAAAGCACGATATCCTTATGATACATTCCAAGAAGTGAAGTTTTTTGGTTGAAGAATAGATGCATAATGATAAGCTGGTCTTTAGAAAGACTATATTAATTTATTGCCTACTAACATTGCATAAGAGTGGTTGCTTTTTCACCCCCTTGCCAATAATATCAATTAAAAAGACAAACCAAAATGTTGCTACATATGATAGGCAAGAAGTGATATGTGGCATGTTATCTTTTCTATTTTTTTTTTTTTTGGTGATGGGTCTCACTCTGTCTACCTGGGCAGGAGCACAGTGGCGGGATCACAGCTCACTGCAGCCTCAACTCCCAGGCTCAAGCGATCCTCCCACCTCAGCCTTTTGGGTAGCATGCCACCACGCTGGGCTAATTTTTTGTATTTTCTGTAGAGACGGGGTTTTTCATTTTGCCCAGGCTGGTCTTGAACTCCTGGCCTCAAGCAATCCTCTCTCCTCTGCTTCCCAAAGTGCTGGGGGGTATAGGTGTGAGCCGTTGTGCCTGGCCAGCATGTTATTATCTTAATGTCTATTTCTCTGAATCTTGAGTTTATTGACTAGGAATTGGGCTTTGTCATTAGACAGGCCTGGGTTTGAGTTCCAGCTCTGCCTCTTGCTGTGTGGCTTCAGGTAAGTAACCCAGTTCTCCATTTTCCCAAGTGTAAAATGGACATAATGGGATTATTACAAGGATCAGCTGAGAAAATAAATGTGCAACACTTAGTATAGTAAGGTACCAGTGCAGTTGGTAACTTAACATCTCTGTGGCTTTCACCTCAGACAAACTTTGTAATTAAGTAAAGAAAGCCTTTATGGAATGAACAATTGGATTAATATGTTGGAGTTAAGAAGAAATATTTCGGCTGGGCATGGTGGCTCATGCCTATAACCCCAGCACATTGGGAGGCCAAGGTGGGCAGATCACTTGAGGTCAAGAGTTCGAGACCAGCCTGGCCAACATGGCAAAACCTCACCTCCAGTAAAAATACAAAAATTAGCCGGGTGTGGTCGTGTGCGCCTGTAAGCCCAGCTACTCAGGAGGCTGAGGCAGGATAATCACTTGAACTTGGGAGGCTGAGGTTGCAGTGAGCCGAAATCACGCCACTGCACTCCAGCCTGGGTGACAGAGTGAAACTCTGTCTCAAAAAAAAAAAAAAAAAAAGAAGAAGAAGAAGAAATATTTCACATTTTATGTATTCGCAATGTTTAAGAAAATTTGGCCGACTTGAATGACAGCTTTTTTGTAAATCATTTTAAATGTGTAATTGAGTTAGTTTTAGACTTAGGTTTTTGAGTTGAAAGCTTACTAAGTTTACACATGGAATCAGGCCATCTAAGAGAATGTTAGCTTTGTTATGCTTGTATGTTTATTTATAGGAATTACTAAGTTTTGAAAAAGTTTTAAACAATTGAATGAATTAAAAAGAAAATCTAGGCCGGGCACAGTGGTTCACGCCTGTAATCCAAGCAGTTTGGGAGGCAGAGGTGGGTGGATCACCTGAGGTCAGGAGTTCAAGACCAGCCTGGGCAACATGGTGAAATCCCGTCTCTACTAAAAATACAAAAATTAGCTGGGCGCGGTGGTGCGTGCCTGTAATCCCAGCTACTCAGGAGGCTGAGGCAGGAGAATCGCTTGAGCCCAGGAGGCAGAGGTTGCAATGAGCCAAGATTGTGCCATTACACTCCAGCCTGTGCGACAGAGTGAGACTCCGTCTCAAAAAAAAAAAAAAGTTTTGAAAAAGTTTTATACGATTGAATGAACTAAAAAGAAAATCTAGGCCAGGTGCGGTGGCTCATGCCTGTAATCTTAGCACTTTGGGAGGCCGAGGCCAGTGGATCACAAGGTCAGGAGTTTGAGACCAGCCTGGCCAATATAGTGAAACCCCATCTCTAATAAAAAAATATATATATATATAAAATTAGCCAGGTGTGGTGGCGGGTGCCTGTAATTCCAGCCACTTGGGAGGCTGAGGCAGAAGAATCCCTTGAACCCGGGAGGCGGAGGTTGCAGTGAGCTGAGATTGCACCATTGCACTCCAGCCTGGGTGACAAGAGTGAAACTCCATCTCAAAAGAAAAAAAAAAAGAAAATGTAATAGGAAATCTAATATAGACAATATAATAGGCACAATTTATTCTTTATTATTATTTTTTATTTTTATTTATTTATTTTTTTGAGATGGAGTCTCGCTCTATTGCCTAGGCTAGAGTGCAGAGGCATGATCTTGGCTCACTGCAAGCTCCGCCTCCAGGGTTCACGCCATTCTCCTGCCTCAGCCTCCCGAGTAGCTGGAATACAGGTGCCCGCCACCATGCCCGGCTAATTTTTTTTTTTTTTGTGTTTTTAATAGAGCTGGGGTTTCACCGTGTTAGCCTGGATGGTCTCAATATCCTGACCTCGTGATTCGCCCACCTCGGCCTCCGAAAGTGCTAGGATTACAGGCGTGAGCCACCGTGCCCGGCAATTATTATTATTTTTTAAAAGACAGTCTCGCTCCGTCAACCAGGCTGGATTGCAGGAGCACAATCTCGGCTCACTGCAACCTCTGCCTCCTGGGTTCAAGTGATTCTCCTGCCTTAGCCTCCCGAGTAGCTGGGACTACAGGCGTGTGTCACCATACTAAGCTAATTTTTTTGTATTTTAGTAGAGACGGGGGTTTCACCATGTTGGCCAGGCTGCTCTCGAACTCCTGACCTAAGGTGATCCACCCACCTTGACCTCCCAAAGTGCTCGGATTACAGGTGTGAGCCACTGTGCCTGCCCTAGTAGGCATAATTTTAAATATTTGAAGATGTTGAATTAACTGAGTGAGACTTAAAAAAAAATTTTCAGGAAATTTCAGAATGCTCTATGTCCTCGTTGCCATTGCGGCTGCCTTTCTCAAGAATGCCTGGCCTAAGGAGCGGGTGCTGGTCCTGTTCCTCACCATCGGGGGCCTAGCTATAAATCTGACCCCAGTCTGCCCCTATACCATGTACTCCACCAGGATCAACTAGGCCACGCCCCACAACAACCCAGTGCCCCTCCGAGATGATGGGAACATGCTGGACATGCCCAGCCACCCCCAAGGCCCAAGCATGGAGTGGTTGAAGAAACTGCAAGCACTTCCATTGACATGGAGAAGACCATGTCCCCTGTGGCCCCCAATAAAAATGTGACCCCCCCGCCTCCGAAATAAATAAATCATTCAGTTTCTGAAAAGTGTTTGGTAAAATGTGCTAGACTTATAAATAGAATAATACAATTTGTAAAGTGAACTTAAAAGCTTAAGAATGAAATAACTTTTTACTTTGTAGGCTTAATAAATGAAACCCTTGCCCACTTTTCTACAGGGGTGTTTTGTTCTTACAGGTTTTCAAGTATCTTTAATAGTCTGAAGGAAGAGTGAATACATTGAAAATAGCTGGAGCAAAACATCTGGAGTCAGGCTATGATTTGGCATGCTAAATCATGCTGAACTTGGCCCATTATCTTGAAGGGAGGAATAGAAAAAAAAATTTAAAAAGAGAAACACAATTGCATTTGCACTTTAGAGAGAACACCCTGATAACTGTGAGGATCTAGTTGGCAGAAGGGCGACTACAGTGTAATCACAACAGGGATGGAGACAAAAGTAGACATCTCAGAAATAAACACAGATTGGATGTAGGGTGCGAGGCAAGGAGCCTGGGGTGTTCCCACTGGGAATTGAGTACTTCTGTGAATAGAGAATATAGCAGGAGCAGGGTCAGTATTTGACACGTGGGATTTGAAGTGTCTGCCCTATACACAGGTGAAAGTGTTCATTAGCTGAAAATACTGAGGGACTTCCAGACGATCTGGTCTGGTGATACATATCGAGGGGTCCTCAGCAGTTATAGGCGAGTGTAGAAAAGATTACTGAGTAGGCAAAGAATAAACGGAAGAGGGCCGGGCGCGGTGGCTCACACCTGTAATCTCAGCACTTTGGGAAGCAGAAGCGGGTGGATTACCTGAGGTCAGGAGTTCGAGACCAGCCTGATCAACATGGTGAAACCCTGCCTCTACTAAAAATACAAAAAAAGTAGTTGGGCGTGGTGGCGGGCACCTATAATCCCAGCTACTTGGGAGGCTGAGGCGGGAGAGTCGCTTGAACCCGGGAGGCGGAGGTTGCAGTGAGCCGAGATCGCGCCACTGCACTCCAGCCTGAACGACTGAGCAAAACTCCGTCTCAAAAAAAAAAAAAAAAAAAAAATGCCGGGCGCGGTGGCTCACGCCTGTAATCCCAGCACTGTGGGAGGCCGAGGCGGGTGGATCACGAGGTCAGGAGATCGAGACCATCCTGGCTAACACGGTGAAACCCCGTCTCTACTAAAAATACAAAAACTTAGCCGGGCGCGGTGGCGGGTGCCTGTAGACTCAGCTACTCGGGAGGCTGAGGCAGGAGAATGGCGCGAACCCGGGAGGCGGAGCTTGCAGTGAGCCCGGATCGCGCCACTGCACTCCAGCCTGGGCGACAGAGCGAGACTCCGTCTCAAAAAAAAAAGAAAATAAAAAAAAAGAAAGAAAGAAAAGAAAAAAGAATAAACAGAAGAGGGCTGCGGACAGAATACCGTTGAATACCAATATCTGAAGGGCAAGCCACAAGGTGCAGGGGGCAGAGGCATCCCTGATACGGGAAAAGAGTTATTTTAAAAAGAACTTGCAAAGAACAATGTCAAGGGATCCAAAGGTAGGGAATTTGGACAGAGTTCGGCTTTAGCATCCGCATCTCAAATACCTGGGTACCTGGGTAATCTGGTGACTGCTGCCGAATCTAAGAGGACTGAGGCCAGGTTGCCAAACTGCGGAGAGTGGGGTTGGAGGGCTTTCATGGCAGTTTGGGGCCTGCTTGTGTCCAACAAGACAACCTGGGTCACCTCAAAGGGTGTCTTCTCCAAATATTGGTGCAGAGGTTAGCTGGGCCGGCAAGAGAAGGGAGATGACCCACTATTTTGATTTCAGGCAGCAGACACCGGCAGCCTTTCGGTTAGAGTTGCGGATAGGGCAGTGGCCTTGGGGGCGGGGCTATAAACCTGGGCGGGCATTCCCGGCAGGGCAAGCTCAGCGTGAGCCCGATTGGAGGATGGGCTCTACCTTCTTCCTTCCGCCTACGGAGACCATAGCGGGATGCAGGGCGGGGCCGGGCTGAGGGGGCGGAGTTAGGGGCGGGGCACGGTGACTCTGGCCCCGCCTCTTTCCGGCCGCTCAGGGCGGTGTCGCTGGGGCGGTGCCGCTGGGGCGGGGCCTGCGGGGTGGGGCTGACGGCACGGGGCGGGGCCTCGGGGACCCCGGCAAGCCCGCGCACTTGGCAGGAGCTGTAGCTACCGCCGTCCGCGCCTCCAAGGTTTCACGGCTTCCTCAGCAGAGACTCGGGCTCGTCCGCCATGTCCGCCGCAGACGAGGTTGACGGGCTGGGCGTGGCCCGGCCGCACTATGGCTGTGAGTGCGGGGCTCCGCGGCGCGGGGGCTTCGGGCTGGGCTAATTGCAGACGAGGCGCGATTTTCCTGGGGGCTCGGCCGGGCGGGTGGGGCAGGGCGGCTGCCGGCAGCTCGGACCCGGAAGAGCCGTCCCGGTGGGGCGGCGGGCGGCGGGCGGGGAGGCCCCTGGTTCGCGCCCCCTCGGGGTCCGAGGCGGCGGAGAGGACCCCCGAGGCCTCCCGCCTTAGCTGGGGCCGCGGTAGGGGGAGCCCCACCCAGCGCCTCTCGCCGCCCAGGCTCGGCCGAGATTGGGGAAGACGGCCTAGAGTGAGGTGGCAGGATGACCGCGCAGGGCGTGTCCCGGGGATTGGGGGTCTGGGTACGCGGGCTCTGCCCGTTTCGTGGAAAGGCGCTGCCCTAGTGTTGCCTGCGGGGTAGACCCAAGGGATAGACCAGGGTCCAGACCTGTCCGGTCCCAGGCTAGCTACGAGGTGCCGTCCTGGGCAAGTCACTTCAGTTTTCTCGGGCTTAGTTCCCTCCTCAAGATTTCAAAAGTAAAATAGTAATAAAGAAAAAAAAAAGAAGCAGAAAATCCTCTGACTTCCTCATTTTCTGTTGTCGGCCCTGGACGTCATTGAACTGCAGGCAGGATTGGCTAAAGGAGGACCCTTTGGGATTTTGAGGTTTTCGGTTTTATTTTATATTGTGGGAATAATGTTCTTTTTTAAAGGATCAACATTTCACGCATCAACAGTTATACGTGAGGTATTGTGCCACGTTTGTGAAATTAAAGATGAGTAAGATCAGGCCCTGTCTCCAAAGAGCGTTTTAATCAGAGAGTCAGGTGTGCAAGCTAATGATTATAAGGTGCAATAATGATAAAAGATGCTGAACTTACTAGCCATACAGAGTAATGTAGGTAAGGAGAAGGGGCCTGGGGAAGACAGTATGAGCACGGGAGGTGACTTTTTTTTTTTTTTTTTTGGAGACAGGGGGTCTTGCTCTGGTCGCCCAGCCTGGAGTTCAGTGGTGCAATCTCAGCTCACTGCAAACTCCACCTCCCAGGTTCAAGCGATTCTCCTGCAGTCTCCCGAGTACAGGCGTCGGCCACCACACTGGCTAATTTTTGTATTTTTAGTAGAGACAGGGTTTCACTGTGTTGGTCAGGCTGGTCTCAAACTCCTGATCTCAAATGATCCCCACGCCTCGACCTCCCAAAGTGTGAGCCACTGCACCTGGCCTGAAGGTGACATTTGAACAGAGCCTTGAAGAATGCTGTGTAGAAAGTTTGACAGGTGGCCAGGCATAGTGACTCCTGCGTGTAATCCCAGCACTTTGGGAGTCCGAGGTGAGAGGATAGTTTGAGGCCTTGAGTTTGAGACCAGCCTGGGCAGCACAGTGAGACTCCATCTCTTAAAAAAAAAAAAAAAAATTAGCCAGGCGTGGTGGCCCATGCCTGTGGTCCCAGCTGCTTGGGGCTGAGGTAGGAGGATCATTTGAGCCCAGAAAGTCGAGGCTGCAGTAAGCCATGATTGTGCCACTGCACTCGAGCCGGAGTGACAGAACAAGACCCTGTCTCAAAAAAAAAAAAAAAAAAGTTTGATAGGGCATGTGGAACAAGAGACAGGACCTGAGGGAAGAGCATAAACAAAGGTATTGAAAGTAGAGGGATACTGTGTTGGGAACTGAGTGATGTAGACTGCACAGTGGTGGGAGGAAGGGAAGAGGAGAGTTTCCAAAAATAGTTGGGACCAGACTGGGAAAGGCCTTGAATGCCTTCCCAAGGAGTTAGGAATTTATTCCACACCTGGTGCCCATGAAGGAAGCAGATTGCTTCAAGGTTAAGCTCAGGCTTTGGAGACAGACTCTCCAGGTTTGGATTCAGGCCCTGTCACTTATTTGCCATGGGGCTGAGTTCACCCAGCCTCAGTTTCTTCGTCTGTAAAATAGGAGTGATAATCACAGGATTGTTGTGGGGTTTCAATGAGAGAATGCGTGTAAAATGCTTCGTACAATTACTGCCACTTATGTCTCAATAACTGCTGGCTTTGGTCATTAATAAAAGAGGGAAACAATATTATCAGATCTGTATTTAGAAGGAGTTCTGGCAGATAGGGACAGATTTGTGCCAAAATCTCAAGACAGTATTTTTCAAGATTACACTGAAACTTAGTACATATTTATATTATCATACATTTTTAAAAAGGTCAAGATGATTATAGTTGAAACCACATAGTTCTTTTTTTAAGAAAGTCATTGTAGTACACCTGGCTGGCTACACACTCATTAGTTATCCTGACTTTCTAGGTGAGTGGCAGGAAATTGATTCTGTGGCAATCTTTTATCACTCAGGAAGGCTACAGATCCTGGTGTTTACATTCTTTCTTTTATGTTGTAGCTGTCCTGGATAATGAAAGACTTACTGCAGAGGAGATGGATGAAAGGAGACGTCAGAACGTGGCTTATGAGTACCTTTGTCATTTGGAAGAAGCGAAGAGGTAAAGATTGGCTGGCTGGAGAGAAGATTAAGAGAAGGGAACTGATAATAGTGTGAATACAAATAAAGATTGCTTTGAGGCTGAACACAGTGGTCCATGCCTGTAATCCCAACACGTTGGGAGGCCGAGGTGGGGGGGAATCACTTGAACCCAGCTGTTTGAGACCAGATTGGGCAACATAGTGACACCCCATCTCTACAAAAAAATTTTAAAAATTAGCCAGGCATGGTGGTGCATGCCAGTAGTCCTAGCTACTCGGGAGCCTGAGGAGGGAGGATCACTTGAGTCCGGGAGGTCGAGGCAGCAGTGAGCCGTGCTCTCACCACTGTGCTCTAGCCTGGGTGACAAAACTCCTGTTTTTGGTGGGGGGAAAAAAAAGAAAAGATTTATTTGAGTATGTTATAGATGTAACTGGGAAGCTGGTGGTTGAGGGAATAAGTATAGGTAGGGTATTTATTTATGGCAATAAGTAGCCTTGATGAGAGTTTATCATGAATCACTGTGATGGGCATTTAAGTGTACTGAACGGTTTTCCAGGTTTCTATTGTTCAGTCTTATGCTTATTGTGCATGTTTTGGGCGTTACCAACTGTGGGGTGGAAATAGCATTTTTAGGATTTGAAGTTATTGGCTTTAATGTTTCACTTATGCTTCATGAATTTTGATTTATATATGAATTGAGTCTCCTCCTCCTATGACCTGCGGAGTGGCTGCTTGGTTTGGGAGGCTTAGAAGCGTGGTGCTGTTGGTGTAGGTCCATCTGTTTGGCAATATTCAGAGTCAGCATCCTCTGCATTCTTTGTGAAGTGAATGTAAAGCTGCTCTTTTCCTTTTTCAGATGCCCCACAACCTTGTGGTCTTAATTTTAGAGTGTCATTTTGTTATCAGTGATTCATTTCTTTTGTTCTGGTGCTTGTGTTCTTTTGCAGAGTCCCAGGGTAGATGTAATTATAGATCATGTATTCTATAAGTGAGCTTTGGTGGAAAAGTCAAGTGAGGGATAATGAAATATTTGTAATTAACGTTTAATAAAAAGGGTGTTTGAAGTGGTGCTAATAAACAAGTGTGTGTGTATGTGTGTATTTTAATTCTGAAAATCTTAAAATGCTACAAGAAAGTCCAGAGAACAGTACAACAAACATCATTGTATTCCAGAACTAACAAATGTTAACATTTGAGATATTTCCCTTTCCTCTAAAAACAAAACAAAACAAAACCAACATCGCTACATTTAAAGTCTTTTTTGTGCCCCTCTGGTCCCATTCTTCCTTCTCCTGGGGCAAACACTAACCTGTATTTTGCATGCCCTCTTGTGTCTAGGCTTCTTTTCTGAGCTTAAAACTTCCAGGAAACTGGAGCTTGGGTTTCAGTGATGACTTAAGTGAGGAGGATAACACTTGTCTTTCTAAATAATAGAAGATGACATAGCAAGGCATGCTATATCACTAGAAAAGGGGGCATTTTCTCATATGAAGTTTATAAGAAAACAAAAACTGTAAGATCTCTGCCATTTAAATTGTGGATTTCAAGGTTTGGAAGGTCAAAGAATTTGGAAGCTGCAGCTGTTCTGAGAGACCATCTTGTGCTCTGTGGAGCTTTGGTGATTCCACTGAGGTGACCTGGGGGTGAGAGGGAAGAGCTTCAACACACCTTCCTTCCCCCATCCAAAGTAGCTCTGCTTTTGTTTTACTGTTGAATTTCTTGAATAAAATTCACTTGTTACAGAGGGTGTTTTGGCTAACACCTCCCCTCCCCCAAACACTACCAATAACTAGTTCAACTGCTAATCTAGTTCAACCATCTCATTTAATGAAGAAACTGAAGCCTGAGTTTTTTGGTCTACTTGTAGTTTTCTTGATTGAAGAATGTTTCTATCTTTTTTTTTTTTTTTTTGTACAGTCTCGCTCTGTTGCCCAGGCTGGAGGGCAGTGGCGCAATCTTGGCTCATTGCAACCTCCACCTCCCGGGTTCAAGCGATTCTCCTGCCTCAGCCTCCTGAGTAGCTGGAATTACAGGCATCCGCCACTACGCCTGGCTAATTTTTGTATCTTTAGTAGAGACTGGGTTTCACCATAATGGCCAGGCTGGTCTCAAACTCCTGACCTCAGGTGATCCGCCCGTCTCAGCCTCCCAAAGTGCTGGAATTACAAACGTGAGCTGCTGTGCCTGGCCTCATCATTTTTTTAACTATGGTTGTTAACCAGGTGTGTGCATTAGAATCACCTGGGGAACTTAAAAAAAAAAAAAAATACACCTATCTGGGCCCTACCATAGAGATTGTGGTTCAGTAGGTCGGGGTGGGAGATCCAGACACATAGTAGTCCCTTGGTATCTGTGGGGGTTTGGTTCCAGGACACCTGCAGATATCAGAATCCACAGTTGCTCAACTTCCTTATATAAAATGGCATAGTATTTGCATATAACCTTAGCACATTGCATAATATATACTTGAAAACATCTCTAGATTACTTATCATACCTCTAGATTACTCTAGATATATCTCTAGATTACTTATCATACCTGATCCAATGTAAATGCTACATAAATAGTTGTTACACTGTATTGTTTTATTTATATCTTTCTTTATTTTTTTCTGACTGTTTTTGATCCATAGTTTGTTGAATCCATGGATGCAGAACCCATGGATAAGGAGGGCCGACTGTATTTTAAATGTCTCTAGTGATTCCGATGCTCCTTCCTTGGCCCCCACTCCTCCCCCTGTTGAGAAACAAGATTTAAAACTCTGCCTTATGCTGGGATATCATGACCTCAGTAGAATGTTACACTTCATCCTATTTCTTCATCAGGTTCTGCATTAGCCAGGCATTTTATTTTCAGCTACTCTAGAGCGTCTTTTTTTCTGTCAGGTGTTTTTTTCCAGTATAGGAAAGTAGCCCATTTCCTTTAAAGACCACCCAGCAGGCATGATCCCCTGAGGTGTTTTTTTGTTGAGTGCTTTTGCATACTTAAGGAGTAACTGACCTGGCCCGGTGGCTCACGCCTGTAATCCCAGCACTTTGGAAAGCTGAGGTGGGCGGATCACCTGGCGGTCGGGAGTTCGAGACCAGCCTGACCAACATGGAGAAACCCCCGTCTCTACTAAAAATACAAAATTAGTCGGGCGTGGTGGCGGGTGCCTGTAATCCCAGCTACTCGGGAGGCTGAGGCAGGAGAATTGCTTGAACCCGGGAGGCAGAGCTTGCGGTAAGCTGAGACAGTGCCATTGCACTCCAGCCTGGGCATCAAGAGTAAAACTCTGTCTCAAAAAAAAAAAAAAAAAAAAAAGGCAGTGGAGACATTTGTGATGATCTTCAGGTTTTTTTTTTTTTTTTTAAGGGAGGGCATAATAGTGGCATATTACCCTAGCACACCCTGCCCATTGGCCTGGCATCATGGAAAGGTGCCTGGTCTATTTTATGGAGGCAATCATAAAACTGGGTGTGGTGATTTTTGTTGTTGTTTAAGGCTTTGATTTTAAAAAATCAAGGTTGGAAGCACCTATTTAGATTGTAAACTAGAGAGGACAAAGGAAAGAAGCCTGGGAATGTTATGGTGAGAAAAGAGGACTAGAATCCCTGTCAGCCACCTATGTGGCTGCTGCCACCCCTAAAAAGTGTTGTGAGTGCACCAAGGACAAATGGCATGCTCTTCGTTATTAGTGAGCTATTAACCTCTTCCAGTTCTTTCTCCTACCTTGGTGAACCGGCCTGTATCTTGTGTGTTCCGAGGGCCCCTCTTTCCCCTCTAGCGCTAGACCCAGTTTGCCTTTTTGGTTTGGTTCCATCCTGTTTCCTCCATAACCTCCACCCCTCCCAAGTTGGAGGAGCCCCAATATCTGGGATTTACAGTAACTCTAAGGCCAGGAATAAAGATCATAGAGATTGGAGGGAGAAAAGCTTCCCCTCTTCAGTTCTATTTATAATACCTCTACTTCTACTAAAAGCTCCACCTTTTAGTACAGTGGCCCCATTGTGTATCCTAGGGCACTCCATTTTCTCCTCTGCCTGTAACAGAGCTCTTTCTTGGGAAAAGAGAGGAGTGTGTAGAGAGTGAATATGACTGTGTAGAGGCAGTGAGTATAAGTAAGAGAGTATAAGTGTAGAGAGACGAAAGTTTTCTGTGGCTGTGGGTTTGTGTTTCCCTGAAAGGTTAACTGGGAAAATTTAGGGGTAATTCCTATAAATGAGCACTGGGAGTGGTTGAGAAATAGAAAATGTAGAGATTTCTGCTTTTCTTCATTGTTTGGAGAGCAGCTTCAATATTGAAATTAAGCCGCTGTTCTAATGAGATATCACCTAACGATTCAAGGCTTTTTGCTAAGGGCTGCACAATAGATCAAGGATACATCTTAAATTATTATTTATGCTTAAATTGAAGCTTATTTTTATCCTTTTGCCTGTTCTTATTGAGTTTTACATTTGTTTAGGCTAAGGAGCGGGGTTTTTTTTGTTTTTTTGTTTTTTTTTGAAACGGAGTCTCGCTCTGTCGCCCGGGCCAGAGTGCAATGACGCTATCTCGGCTCACTGCAAGCTCCGCCTCCCAGGTTAACGCCATTCTCCTGGCTCAGCCTCCCGAGTAGCTGGGACTACAGGCGCCCACCACCACGCCTGGCTAATTTTTTGTATTTTTAGTAGAGACGGGGTTTCACCGTGTTAGCCAGGATAGTCTTGATCTCCTGACCTCGTGATCCGCCCGCCTTGGCCTCCCACAGTGCTGGGATTACAGGCGTGAGCCACTGCGCCCGGCCGGCTAAAGAGCAGTTGTATAGGAGCAATGAATACCGTTTCACTCAGTTGAAGGAGGTAACATTTAAATATGTGAGGTATGTTCAGTGCTTAGGTCTTGGACAGGAGGAAGTAACAGATCAGAATAAGGTTCAGGTGAAAAGAACCAAGAAGAGAACGTGTCAGGCAGGACAGAACAGGGAATTCTGCAAGTGAGAAGAAAGTACGATTAGTACTGGAAATGGAAGAAAATTCAGCTAGGTTAAAGGTCACAGGAAGAAAGTTAATTCCAGCATTCTCTGAGTTTCAGACAATTCCTGGTGTGCGCTTTCAAGTCTGTCATGGGCCACCTTTCTGCTGCTGAGTGCCCGTACCCTAGCTCAAGGAATAGGGCACACCCCTCTTGTAGAAGGGAAGGTAGGAACGCTGGCTGGTTGGAGACTGTCAGCAACTCCACGGTGATAAGTCGAGCTTAGCACTAAGTAGAAGTATGTCACTTTCTGTAATTTAGAGGAATTGAAAAGGTATCTTGGAAAGAAATTAGTTCTTGGGAACAAAGTCTTTTTTGTGCATATGTCTTTACTGTTGGCATAGAGCATTTTCTGGGATGGGCTCTTCAGATCTCCTCTCCCTGTAAGTGATTTCAGAATTCCATGAATGTTGGGATATGTCCAGGCTGGCACCCTGGGATCATGAAAATAGAAGTTAAGACATTTAAGAAGCAAGAAAACAAAATGGGTAGGTGAGGTGACTAGGAAGAATATCATGCCCAGCACTTCTAGAATTCTCAAAATGAGGAGCATCACTTAAATTTTGAGGGGGATCATTTTTAGGATGGTGACCCAAGCTCTCTTTGTACAGATGAGAAGTCTAGTTATCTCATGAGACCCAGTGTGACTAAAGGACCATAGCATGTAGCTGCGTAATGGCACGGTGGCACTAGGAGCTGATCCATTCATTTATTTATAATTACCAAGGGGAAGTATGGGGTGAGATTTATTCTTAACTCTTAAAATGGTGACATACACTATTTTAAGAATAAACCTCCATTCTTTTTTCGGATATTAATTTAGTGCAACGGCCTTGGACAGGCTCCACCATAAGAAGTGGGTTGCATTTAAAAGTGTATTTATTAAAAGTGGTTGAAGCTGAGTGCTTTTCTGTATTGTAACACTGTTGCAAATGGGGAGTATTCATTCCTAATGTGGCTGCCGAAAGCTTTTTACCCTACCATGTAGCTGAAAATTTAGCAAAAAAAATTTTTTTTTTTTTTGGAGACGGAGTCTCGCTCTGTTGCCCAGGCTGGAGTGCAGTGGTGCGATCTGGGCTCACCACAACCTCTGCCTCCCGGGTTCAAACGATTCTCCTTCCTCACCCTCCCGAGTAGCTGGGATTACAGGTGCCCACTGCCATGCCTGGCTAATTTTTGTATTTTTAGTAGAGATGGGGTTTGACCATGTTGGCCAGGCTGGTCTCCAACTCCTGACCTCAAGTGATCCACCCGCCTCGGCCCCCGCAAAGTGCTGGGATTATAGGCGTGAGCCACTGCACCCAGCCTAGCAAAATTTAAAATTAAGAAATGTAAAGAGTTGAACTAGTTAGTACCCATTATTATTAAGAAAAGTCATGTGGCTCTATATTCTCATAGTACGAATAATTAAGTAAAATAGAAATTCAAAAGTATGAATAAAATTTCTTTGAAAATCTTGAATGTTGAGATATCTTGCCACAGTGAAAAGAATCAGACTTTCTGTTTTGGCAGGTGTGAGTTCTGATTCTGGTTTTGCAAGTTGCTTAACGTCAGGGAGTGAGCCCAAATTTGTCCTTTGCAGAATGGGAACGCTATGCATCTTACAGAGCTGCTGTGATGGTTAATTGCTTGGCACAGTGAAATACAGTAGGCACTCAACAAACTTTTTTTTTTTTTTTTTTTTTTTTGAGACGGAGTCTTGCTCTGTCGCCCAGGCTGGAGTGCAGTGGTACAATCTTGGCTCACTGCAACCTCCGCCTCCCAGGTTCTCACCATTCTCCTGCCTCAGCCTCCCGAGTAGCTGGGACTACAGGCGCCTGCCACCACACCTGGCTAATTTTTTACATTTTTAGTAGAGATGGGGTTTCACTGTGTTAGCCAGGATGGTCTCGATCTCCTGACCTCGTGATCCACCTGCCTCGGCCTCCCAAAGTGCTGGGATTACAGGCGTGAGCCACCACGCCCGGCCTGAACTCAATAAACTTTTATCCAAGCACCTGGATAAAGGATATCCTGAATTTTTTCTTTTCTTTTTTTTTTTCTTTTTTTTTTTTGAGATGGAGTCTCACTCTTGTTGCCCAGGCTGGAGTGCAGTGGCACTATGTTGGCTCACTGTAACCTCTGCCTTCTGGGTTCAAGCGATTCTCCTGCCTCAGCCTCCCAAGTAGCTGGGATTACAGGTGCCTACCACCATACCCAGCTAATTTTTGTATTTTTTAGTGGAGACGGGGGTTTCACCATGTTGGCCAGGCTGGTCTCAAACTCCTGACCTCAGGTGATCCACCCGCCTTGGCCTCCTACAGTGCTGGGATTACAGACATGAGCCACTGTGCCCGGCCTCCTGAATTTTCACATTAAATCTGCAAAAGGAAAAGCAGATTTAATGTGAAGATGACAGGAATTTTCTGGGCACTTTCAAGGTCCTAAGGTTGGTAGCCCTAGTTTTTTCACTTCAGACCTTAGCTTTTATCTGAAGGAAAACACCAGAAACAGAAGATACTTCTAGGGAGTGGAATGGGGGTAGAGGGTGTGAGATTTCCTTTTTACTTAATACTGTACTATATATTTAAAATGCTTTTTACAGTGATAATTTTATAATAAAGGAAAAGAAGGGATTAAGTAAAAGGAAAAACTGTGTATATAATTTTTAGATATAATCACAAATTCAGATTTTTAAGTTACTACACAGATGTTCCTCGATTTAGGAGGGGGTTATATCCCAATATTGTAAGTCAAAATGCATTTAATACACCTAACCTACTGAGTATCATAGCCCAGTCCACCTTAATTGTGCTGAGAATACTGATGTTAGCTTACAGTTGGACAAAATTATCTAGCACAAAGCCTATATTACAATAAAGTATTAAGTATCTTGGCTGGGCGCGGTGGCTCACACCTGTAATCTCAGCACTTTGGGAGGCCAAGGCAGGTGGATCACTTGATGCCAGGAGTTCGAGACTAGCCTGGCCAACATGGTGAAACCTCATCTGTACTAAAAATACAAAAAACATTAGTTGGGTATGGTGGCGTGTGCTTGTAATCCCAGCTACTCTGGAAGCTGAGGCACAAGAATCACTGGAACTGGGAGGTGGAGGTTGCAGTGAGCTGAGATCACGCCACTGTACTGCAGCCTGGGTGATAGAACCAGACATTGTCTCAAAAAAAAAAAAAAAAAAAAAGTGAATATAGGAAATCTTCCTTGAAAAAACAAAGATACTCCTACCTCAGCTTCTCAAGTACCTGGGACTATAGGCCCACTTCACCTCACCTAACTAATTAAAAAAAATTTTTTTTTTTGTAGAGATGGGGTTTCTCTATGTTGCCAGGCTGGTCTTCATCTCCTGGGGCTCAGGCTATCCTTCGCTAAAGTGCTGGGATACAGGCGTGAGCAGCCACACCTGGCCTGTATTGTCTTAATTTACTATTTTCAGTGGCCATCTAATGTTCATAATTTATTTAGGTTTATTCCTGTTTAAAGTTCTATTGCTTTGATTGCTGGAGAGTTTAAACATTTTCTTACATATTTGTTTATCAGTATTATTTTCTTATGCAAATTTTCTGTTTTTGTTATGTGCCTGGCTTCTAGGGTCATGATGTTAACTTTTGTGAGCTCTTTTATAACATGGACTTGACTTTCTCTCGTATTTGCTACAAACATTTTCCCTTGATGTTTCATTGTATTTGTTTTCTTCATTGTAGTTTTAAATTTTATTGAGTTTAAATGTCAGTCTTTCGATTTGTAATTTCTTCTATCAACTCGAAGTCTAGATAGTTTAATTTCTCTAAAACCTTGCCAAAATTTTCAGTTTAATAATCGATTGGCTTACTTTTTATATATTTGTAGAGATGGGGTCTTGTAATGTTGATTGTAAGGGGAACTTATCCCGAACTTCTGGCCTTAGGTGATCCTCCTGCCTCAGCCTCCCAAAGTGATGGAATTACAGGCCTCTAATATCCTTTAAAAACCAGCTGTTTATTACCTATTAGCAATTCATGTCTGTTTTGTCAAATATTATGTATATATATATTTCTAGTTCTGGACTTTTAAATTATGGTGAACCATATTTCATTTTTTTGAGAAAAATATATATGACTTTGTTATACTTCTTATCATTGAGAAACAACATCTGAAGCTAGCTTAATTTTAACTCTATGACAAGTAACTTGATTTTTTTTTCCTTTTTTCGTGACTTGAAATTTGTAGAATTGTTGTTCCTTGAGGTATAAACATTTCCCCAGTTAACATGTTAGGGTTGCTATTGGCTTAGCAATTTTGCCTGCAATGTGGAGACTCTTCTTGGTTTATAATGTCTCTTGTTTGTTTATTTTAGCTTTAGGAAATTGTCCATTATGCCTGTGGTGATTAGTTAGATCTGTGTAGTCTATTTTATGGCTCTTCTTCATTTTGTTTACGTTAAATAAGCGTTCTAGGTATGTGTCTCACATACATCTTTTGTTGCACTGACTTGATTTTCTACAGTCTTGATATTTTTTCCTTGGTTCTGTTAATGGTAGTTGCTTTGTCCTATTGTAGTTTATATTTTTAATTAATTCCTTTTCCGTCTCCATTCTTGTTAATAGCTTAAATGATCTCTTTTTAGTTCATGAAGAAGAGTGTGGCACAAAAGATCCTTTCAAGGTGAAAAAAAGGAGCAGGTAGCCAAGATAGTTGGGTTACATAGTTTACCACTTCCCTTTATAATCCGTAGGTGTTGAAATAGATGTGGCCATGAAAAACCAGTGTTAATCGGGCAGCTGAGTGTATGGATTGTCCACCAGTCAAGGTTGGGGAAAAAATCTGGCTGGGCTAAGTGTGGCCCGTTAGTTTGACCTCATTTGGCATGTATTTCTTCTGGTCTTACAGGTCAGAGCAACTGTTTTTATATATTTTAATGTCCCTAATGACAAAATAGTAAAAATACATTTGAGGACCCAAGTTGGCATGTTCTAGGAATTTCATTTTCCGGCTTAGTGTGGTGACCTGCCTCTGATTGCTGTACAATTCCTTCTGCTTCACAGTGTCACATCTGGGGATACCAGTTGGTAGTGGAACCTGTTTTGGACATTTTTAAGCCTTGTGGTATCTGATGGACTCTTGGTTGTTTCTAGCTGGTGCTAAATAAACCCCTTGACAAGAAGTATTTGTGTAAGAAAGCGCTGGTAGGCAAAGTGAGAACATCCGGAAGTGATTCATATTACTGTGGTTGTTTGCTTAACTCAGGACTTGGTTGCCTAGAGACCATATCGTTGAGTTAGCCGAGTGAAGTGCCAGTGGAACCTGGAGGGCCTGTGGCCTACCGGATCAAATCAGGGCTCTGCTCCTTAATTTTTCTCCTGAAGTCTCCTAGCAATCTGATTGATCTCTGTGGTTTGACAGTGCGTGAATTAAAAAAATCTTAAACATATTAATGTTTAAGAAAGATCTGGTTAATGGTTTATTTTGAAGAGTAAGAGTTTACTTGCTGAAGTTTGAATGTTGGGTTAAAATTTTTTAAAAAAATAGTTGTATGTTGGGAAGAATTAGTTATTTCAATAAGGCATTTTATTCTAGAAACCTCAGTACTTTAAGGCAGCTAAAGGAAAGCCAAAATAATCCCCCAAAACAAAAAACCAAAAACCTGCAATTTGCAAGGCAGTCATAATCTAAAATATTTTCTGTCTGTCCCAAAGTCAGTGTATTCCCCTTGCCTCTCCCCCTCTTCCTCATTGTCATGATTAGTACCGTTTATTGCATACTTTCTACATGCAAGGCACTGTGCTAAGCACTTTATATGCTTTATCTAATTAGCTATTCTTGAAGCCCTGTGAGGTGCTTATTATCTACATTTAACAGATAAGAAAGCAAAGCTCAGAGAGGTTAACTCATTCATCTAATAAGTGGTTGATCCAGATTTCAGGTTTGGCAAGAACTCTGAAGTCCTTTCTCTTAACTGCCATGTTAGTCTGCTGCTGCTATACTTCTGGTTCTAAAAATAATGACAACAGTAGTAACTACTGTTAATTAAGCAGAATGATGATGAAATTTACATATTACATTATTGTGAGATAGGCATTATTTTTATTTTAAAGAGGGAAAAAAATAGAGTTGATAACACTTTTCCCAAGGTCATATATTGGAATTCAAGCCCAGGTTTGTGACACCAAAGCTGGTGCTCTTAACTTCTGCAGATGCTGAAGTGGCAACATTTAAGTCTAACCTCTTTAACTGGTGCCCAGAGACATTAAGTAACTTGTGTAGTTTTCAAGTCAGTGAGGGAACTCCATCAATTTCCTGCCACTTATTTTGGAGTCTCTTCCACCTGCCACCTGAGGGAAAGTCTCCAGTTGTCTTATGTATTTTTGTGTCTAACTAGCTTGTTGGACCCTTCCTAATTGCTTCCCTTCTTCATAACCTGGTATCTGCTTTGAATTCAGCTTAGAAAGGTGTTCCTTCCTACCACTTTCTTGTTTGTTAAAGAGTTACCTCATACAGACAGGAGTGGCAAATTGGATTGGAAATTGCTTTGGATCATTTGGCAAGAACTGTATTTTTGGGGTTGTGGGAGGAGGAGAGGCCTGTCTAAAAGCTCTATTTCTTCTTTACTCAGAATACCTTCCTGTTGACTCATTGGAAATCATAACAAAAAGCAGAAGGAATATTGGAGAGGCAGCTGCCAGCCTAGGGCTTGGCTTCTGTTGGGGCAGCTGTTTGGGGATTTAGACACACTGGGCTCTAAGAACTGTGAGGTTTCTGCAGCAGAAGGAAATAGTATTACTCTGATAGGTATTTATTCATAAGGTTAAAAAGTGTCAGACTATTGCTTGGGATTATTGATGAGCAACATAAGAAACTAAAAATATTTTCTCAAATAGAATTAACTGGTGATCCTAAAAACAGAATGAATTGAGGAATACAAGAGGGAGTGGGGGCAAAATTAGAAAAGGAAAAGTTGAAAAGAAGAGAAAAAAAACTTACAATCATTAAAAATAGGAAAAAGATAACATTTAAATAGAAAAAGTCTCACAGATATGCATGCAGTAGGCATTAATCAGCAGGTCATTTTACTGTAAGTAACATACATCTCAGATGACCTTTAAAACAGCTAAAAGTAAACAAAATTTGTCTTTTATTTAAATGACTATTATAACAAAATGTTTTTTTGGGCTGGGCCCTGTGATTCACACCAGTAATCCCAACACTTACGGAGGCCGAGGAGGGAGGATAGCATCAGGCCAGGAGTTCATGACCAGCCTGGGCAACATATTAAGACCCTGTCTCTACAAAATATAAGAAATAAAAAAAAGCCAAACGTGGTGGCACACACCTGTAGTTCCAGCTACTCGGGAGGCTGAGGTGGAAGGATCACTTGAGCCCAAGAGTTCGAGGCTGCAGTGAGCTACGATCACACTGCTGCACAAAAATGTGTTTCTTCCCTGAAGACATGCTATGTCATTAGTTTGGGCAATACCTTTTCATAATTGATAGTTTAAAAAGGTAGTGTTTGACAATGGCTTGACTTTTGGGGTTTTCCTTAAAAATTTGAGAATCCCCATAGGAATGTTTTTTAGATAGATTTGGTCTTAATTTAAAATTTTTAAATTTAAAACATTTTTTTCTTAGAAATAGGTAATACACAGACGTGATACATAATTCAGAGACTATGCAAGTATATAACACTGAAAAAAAGTCTATATCCTTAGTCTTCTTTCTCTAGCTATTCAGTTATTTTCCCCACATGGAACTGCTATCATGATTGTGTCTCTTTCCGGAGATATTCTGTGCATGTAAATACAAATTACTTTGATTTGTTTAGAAGTGGTTGCACACTGTACATTTTGCTTTACATCTTTTTGTTGTTGTTTTTTGAGATGGAGTCTTGCTCTGTTGCCCAGGCTGGAGTGCAGTGGTGTGATCTCGGCTCATTACAACCTCCACCTCCAGGGTTCAAGCGATTGTCCCGCCTCAGCCTCCCAAGTAGATGGGACTACAGGCAATCCGCCATCAGGCCTGGCTAATTTTTGTATTTTTAGTAGAGACAGGGTTTCACCATGTTGGCCAGGCTGGTCTTGAACTCCTGACCTTAGGTTATCTGCCCGCCTTGGCCTCCCTAAGTGTTGGGCTTACAGACATGAGCCACCGTTTTGCTTTGCATCTTAAAATTCATTCCATATGAGTGAATGTGGAATGAAGTGCCTCTTTTTTTCCTTCACAGTTTTAGTTTTCGGTTTTGAAGTTAACCTGTCAACGGACATTTTCTCCTCAGCTTTTGCTGTTATAAAAAGTCACTTTGTAGGTATGCCATTGTGCATGTATGAGTATTCTTGCAGGATAAATTTCTAAAAGTGTAATTTCTGGGTCAAAGGGAATATGCATATTTAGTTCTCAAAAATATTGCCAATTTGCTCTCGTAAGAGGTTGTACCAGTTTGCACATCTGCCTGTCAATAATGTACATATAAGAAGGCTGTTTCCGCTTTAATTTTACCAACCCAGAGTATTACAGATTTTTTACATTTGCCAGTTTCATAGGTGAAAATGGTATTTCATTGTAGCTATTTTGGATTATCTAATTATGAGTGAAGATGAGCATCTTTACATGTGTTTAAAAGCCATTTGTATGTTCTTTTCTGTGAACTTTTTCGGTAGAATCCTTTGCTCATTTTTCTATTGGATTATTCATCTTTTTCTTATTCATTGTGGTAAGAGCTCTTTATATATTGAGGAAATTGGCTCGTTGTACACCGTGGGTGTTATAAATATTCATTCCACTTTGTCCTTTAATTTTTTTTTTTTGAGAAAGTCTCATTCTGTTGCCCAGCCTGGCGTGCAGTGGCCCGATCTTGGCCAGGTTCAAGCGATTCTTGTGCCTCATCCTCCCGAGGAACTGGGATTACAGGCGCGTATCACCACACTCAGCTAATTTTTGTATTTTTTTAGTAGAGACAGGGTTTTGCCATGTTGGCCAGGCTGGTCTTGAACTCCTGATCTCGGGTGATCCACCTGCCTCGACCTCCCAAAGTGCTGGGATTACAGCCAAGAGCCACCTCACCTGGCCATTGTCCTTTAAATTTTGACTTTGTATTTCAAATAAAGTTTTAAAACATATTTGAACTTACTAATATTTTACTTTTAGTTTTTGAATTTTTTGCATGATTTTTAAAGAGTCTTATCTATACTGAGATTATATAAAAACATTCTCCCATGTTTTCCTCTAGTATGTTTAGGATGTAAAGTGTTTTAATATTTAACTCTTTGATCCATTTGGAATTTATTTTGGTGTGAGGAGTAAGATAGATCCTGCTTTTTTGACTTTTGAATCGTATTTTACATTTTGAGTCTTAGCAGTGTCTTAGGAAATGTGCTCTGGAGGGTGTCTTGTGCTCTAGTTTATGAACTGATATCTTAATTTTTTTCAGAACAAGGCAGCTTCAACTGTTGAGCTTTTTGAAACATATGGCTTAACTATCATTTTAGGGAATTTGGTTAGGATTTTCCAGAGTGCTTTCAAGCAAGTTATATTGTAATGCTAAACAGATTAATATCGTGTAGTAAAGTTGGCGTTGAGAAAACAGGTTTTGAATTAACAGCTTTGACATAAAGACTGTGAAGAGATTACTAGACTTGCCAAACTAACATAATTTATTCTTTGTGTAAAGGAGAGTGCAAATTTGGAGTTTGAAAAACTGTGTGGCTGACTTTCTAGATCAGTATTTTTTGAGGTATATTGTGCTGTGACATTAAAGAAAGGGTTTAGTGGTGAAATAAGCTTCAGAAATACTGAGTTAAACCAAGCCAAATATTATTCAAGTGGCAAATTATTTGGAATCTTTGTCATAGACTTGTAAATTCTGAGTCTCCAAGGCAAAGGATAGTGTATGCAATATTCCTCAAACCTACTTTATCAATAGTGTTCCAGGTTTTTTTTTTTTTTCTGGTTTGCGAACACTTTTTTTTCTATCAGTTACGGATTTGAGGGACTATTTTTTCTTTCTTTTACTTTATTTTTTATTTTTGGACTCTAAGACTTTCTTCAGAGACTATTTCAAATAAGAATTTGGGAGATGTTCATGGTCACTTCTCAGCTATTTTGTGTTTTATGATAGTTAGTTTACATTCTCCGTTGAGTTATCCTGTTCTTGGCTTATAGAGCTTAAATTAAAGCCATAATTGTACTAATTGGATAGGTATAATTGCTCAGTGATCTTTAAGGCATTGCAAAGGACGGGAGTGTGGTTTTTAAAAATGAGGGGTGCAAATGTACTAATTATTAAAAAGGAAAAGATAAATATGACAAATTCTGGTCTAGTAAACTAGTTTCTGGCCAAACATTGGACCAGAAAAATTCCAGAGCACATTGTCAGATGCATAACTTATGAACACTTAGCGAGAAAAGTGATGCTTGGGAGCCAACATGGGCTCCCTAAAAAAAGCCCTGTCACATTAACATCATTTCCTTTTGGACAGGGTCACCAGATTGGTGAATCAGAGAAAAACACACGCCTGGCAATTTTTTGTATTTTTAGTAGAGACGGGGTTTCACCGTGTTAACCAGGATAGTCTTGATCTCCTGACCTGGTGATCCACCCGCCTCAGCCTCCCAGTGCTGGGATTAGAGGCGTGAGCCACCGTGCCCGGCCGGGGTTTGTTTTTGGTTGATGAAAGTGTTCTGGAATTAGATAGTGATGACGGTTGTACAACATTGTGAATATTCTAAAAGCAACTGAATTGTATATTTTAAATGAGTTTACGTTACGAATCGTATCTCAGCAAAAAGAGCTGCAGATTTTTAGTTCAGAGAAAGCACTTTTAGGGCATGTTATTTGTAAACATTTTTATTGGGACTTACTAGGGCGTCAGTGATGTGTCAGTGAAGTTAGGATTTTACTTGTTTCTAGAGAGATAGTTAATATATTGTAAGGCACATTTTGCTTTCAATGTACCGTGAATCTAATAATGAAATTCAATAGTAATAAGTGTGATGTCCTACATTGGAGTTCAAAAAGTGTATAGGATAAGGGAGAGAAGTAGCGTTAGTGGGAATAACGTTGGTGGGAAACGAAAACAAAATGAAAGAAACCTGAGAAGTTCATTAACTCATTAGTAGATATATGGTATATGCAGCCAAGGAAAAGATGGTTCCACTGTCCTCTGGACTAATCAGAGGCTTCCTGAAATTGGTGTTTAGTTCTGGAGGCCATACTTTAAGATGGATCTCGTAGTCTAGAGCAAGGATGTTAGATTTGTGGTAGGTTATTTTACACCCACAGCAAGCACTGCTGATAGATCAGAATCCTTTTCAACGTAGAAGCTGAGGAACCACTCCCAATCAGTGGGTGTTGGTTGTCCATTAGTTGAGACTTAGTTGTTGCTCTGGGATGAGAGCGTGTTCGATGAGTATGACCAGGATGATAAAGGGTCTACCAATTATGATCTATGAAGAATAATTGGGAATACTGAGGCTATATAAAATGGAAACAAGATTTAGAAGAAATATAAAATCAGAATCTCAGAAGCTCAACCTTTCATCTAGTTTAGGAATTCAGTCAACTGTTATATTAACATTTTACCTACTTTACTAAAAAATTCCTGAGAGATGGGAGGGGAGTTCATTTTGTCAGATGTGGTGCCAGGGGAACAGAACTAGACAATGGAAATCTGCTTAATAGGAGGATAGTTTCTTATATAACAATAAGAAATTTCCAAACGGTGTCTGAGCTGCTTTGGGAAAACCCGTGTTGCAGATTTTCAGGTTTAGACTGTGTAACAGTTTAATGGAAGATTGTTATGTTCTAACCTAAGTATTTTCTCGTTATTTAAAAACAATTTTTATTTCATTTCCTGTGTTATTAAAAACTATTTTTATTTTGAATGACTTGATACTATTCCATTGCTCATTTTTTCTAACATGGCTAAGAAGTTGGGAAAATTCCTCCAATAAAATAATTACTTTAAAGCAAGTAAAACACGTTTTTAGCTCCTCCATTGTTCAGGACACTCTGGGAGAACTGAAGAAGATGCGAAAGTATAAAACAGTCCTGCCCTTAGGAGCTTACGGATTAATTGAAGACAGGGCATAAACATTTGAAAAGTTACCCAACATCAGAGAATGAGAGGTCTCAGTGTCACAAGGCAATATGTAATTGCTGAGGAAATGATGCAAATAGTTAATGTGTGAGAGTTTAGACAGGGAAAGATTATTTTATGGCTGGGTTTTTCAGGATAAGCTGACATTGTATGGTCAGGCGTTTCCCTTTCAAGGGAAAGCATAACACTATGTATACTTGTCTTGTTCTCTGTGCTCCTTTAGAGTTGAAGCTCTTTCCACTTCCTGGTACCCAATGGCACCTCTCACCACAGTGCTTTTTACAAAGTAGGTGCTTGGGGATATTGTTAAGTTGAATGAGTACAGAGTTGTGTGGTATGTGGGGGTTGTGGTAGGAAAAAGAATTTCAGTGTTATGGTGATAAGAGCTTGGGGTAATTTTCTGTTTTGGTTTTTGTTTTTCTTTTATTATTTGGTTATAATTGAGACCAGGAGTAATACGGTCCCTAAGCAAGAGAGAAAGAGCAGTGTGTGTCTTTCAGTAGAGTCTTTCTAATTTATTCAAAGATAAATTAGAAAAGGATTCTACCCTTATGTACATAAATAACTATTAGGCGATAAAGAGATATAAAGTGCCATAAGAAAGTTTAGAGGAAGTTTGGAACGAGAAGAGATTATTTCTGATGGTAGGTCATGAAAAGGTTCGTGGAGGAGAGGTGACTTTTGAAGGTAACATTTGAATTGGCAGGGATGGGTGGGGCTGATCACCTAAAAGTTATACTAAACCTTGTATTCTTTGTGGGCATCCCTGTCTCTACCTTCCTGCATCGTGGCTTGATGACATCTATTTTCTCTCAAAACTTCTTCACATTTTGGCCCTAACAAATTTACCCCATCTCATTTAACATGCTATCACTTAAAAAATTAATTAATTAATTTTTAGAGAAAGGGTCTTGCTCTCTTGCCCAGGTTGGAGTGCAGGGGTGCAATCATAGCTCATGGCAGCCGGGAACTCTTGGGCTCCAGCCATCCCCAGACCTCAGCCTTGTGAGTAGCTGGGACTGCAGATGCATGCCACCATGCTGGCTTAACATGCCATCTTGACCTCTTTCCCTGTAGCAGTGGGAAAAACGTATTTTTCTCCTAACACTTAACCTTCTATGTGTGATCTAGATCCTATCCCTTCTTGTCTTCTAGGGTTCTTATTCCAATATTATTTTCCCAACTATAACTTGCACTTTTTTTCCTGCTGCTTCTTTCTCTTTAGCACATGAACATCCTCACCCATTCAAGATACACTTCCTTACTCCTAGATACCCTGATTGTTTTCCCCTCTTTGTTCTTTCAAGGAAAATTTCCTATATTCACTTTTTTTTTTTTTTTTTTTTTAGATAAGGTCTGGCTCTATCACTCAGGCTGGAGTGCAGTGGCACGATCTCGGTTCATTGCAACCTCCACCTCCCGGCTTCAAGCGATTCTCCTGCCTCAGCCTCCTGAGTAGCTGAGATTATGGGTGCCCGCCACAACAGCCAGCTAATTTTTGTATTTTTAGTAGAGATGGGGTCTTACCATGTTGGCCAGGCTGGTCTCGAACTCCTGACCTCAAATGATCCACCCGCCTTGGCCTCCCAAAGTGCTGGGATTACAGACGTGAGCCACTGCGCCAGGCCTTAATTTTTACATTTTTTTGTAGAAACGGGTTTCACTGGGTTGCCCAGCCTGGCCTCGAACTTACGAACTCAAGTGTTCTACTCACCTTGGCTTCCCAAAATGCTGGGATTGCAAGTGTGAGCCACTGTGCCCTGCCCCTATATTCACTTCCTTAACTTAACTCATTTGGATGTAATTCCTGTGCCTTCCTTTTCCCCATTGAAATTTCTCTTGCTTAGTTCCACCAACAGTGTAAAAGTGTTCCTATTTCTCCACATCCTCTCCAGCACCTGTTGTTTCCTGACTTTTTAATGAGCGACATTCTAACTGGTGTGAGATGGCATCTCATTGTGGTTTTGATTTGCATTTCTCTGATGACCAGTGATGATGAGCATTTTTTCATGTGTCTGTTGGCTGCATAAATGTCTTCTTTTGAGAAGTGTCTGTTCATATCCTTTGCCCACTTTTTGATAGGGTTGTTTGTTTTTTTCTTGTAAATTTATTTGAGTTCTTTGTAGGTTCTGGATATTAGCCCTTTGTCAGATGAGCAGATTGCAAAAATTTTCTCCCATTCTGTAGGTTGCCTGTTCACTGTGATGGTAGTTTCTTTTGCTGTGCAGAAGCTCTAGTTTAATTAGATCCCATTTCTCAATTTTGGCTTTTGTTGCCGTTGCTTTTGGTGTTTTAGACATGAAGTCCTTGCCCATGCCTATGTCCTGAATGGTATTTCCTAGTTCAACCATTGTGGAAGACAGTGTGGCAATTCCTCAAGGATCTAGAACTAGAAATACCATTTGACCCAGCCATCCCATTACTGGGTATGTACCCAAAGGATTATAAATCATGCTGCTATAAAGACACATGCGCACGTATGTTTACTGCGGCACTATTCATGATAGCAAACACTTGGAACCAACCCAAATGTCCATCAGTGATAGACTGGATTAAGAAAATGTGGCACATATACACCATGGAATACTATGAAGCCATAAAAAAGGATGAGTTCATGTCCTTTGTAGGGACATGGATGAAGCTGGAAACTATCATTCTCAGCAAACTATCACAAGGACAGAAAACCAAACACCGCATGTTCTCACTCATAGGTGGGAATTGAACAATGAAAACACATGGACACAGGGTGGGGAACATCACACACTGGGGCCTGTTGTGGGGTAGGGGGAGGGGAGAGGGGGGAGGGACAGCATTAGGAGATATACCTAATGCTAAATGATGAGTTAATGGGTGCAGCACACCAACATGGCACGTGTATACATATGTAACAAACCTGCATGTTGTGCACATGTACCCTAGAACTTAAAGTATAATAAAAAAAAAAAAAAAGAAAAAACATTCCCAAGATCCCCTCAAAAAAAAGAAAAAGAAAAAGAAATTTCTCTTGCTCATATCACCAATGGCCTAATTGCTATGTCCCATGGAAATTTTTCTAGTACTTAATCTCTGCAGCATATGTCACTCTTTCCTGTTCAATTCATGGAGTTTTCTTCCTTTTAATTGGGTATCTTTTTTATGCTTTTTGAATTTCGAACTGTGTATTGAAGTATTGACCTGTGTAAAAAATATATTGCCTATCTAAGAAAATCAGTTAGCATTCCTCTGGGAAACTCACTTGGCCATCCATCCTTACCCCAGGTCTAAGTTAGATGTTCCTCTCTCATGTATCTTTATTATAACTTTTCTCTTTCCTAATGCACTGTTAGCCTTAGAAGGCAAGTACTACGTTCTTTCTTTCTTTCTTTTCTTTTCTTTTCTTTTTTTTTGGAGACAGGGTCTCACTCTGTTACCCAGGCTGGAATGCAGTGGTGTGATCTGGGCTCACTGCAGCCACAACACCCCCAGGCTCAGATGATCCTCCTTGTCTCAGCCTCCCAAAGTGCTGGGATTATAGGCGTGAGCCACCTCACCTGGCAGTACTGTGTTCTTAATGTATATCATAGTTAACCCCCACTCCCTTATTTTCTTACTAAATAATAGGTGTGAAAATTAAATTTTTGACATATATGGCTCTAGCAGAGGATTGCTTTTACAGAGAAATAGGTGCCTGTCTTCTACTTTGTAGAGGACTCTTACCTGTTGTTTTCTTCTCAAGAGCTGCTCACAGGTTAGTAATGATTAGGCTGTAGAGCTGCTCACAGGTTAGTAATGATTAAGCTGTAGCTTCTGAGACTTAGCTATCATCTAGATTTAACTCAGTTTTGGAATTTCATTTCATTTCATTTAAGATTAAAAGGTCTTTCATGCTCCATGGTAAGTGGTAAACTAGGGATGGATGGATAGATAGACAGCTGACCATGGTAATGTTTCACCAGACTCTGGATCTGAAGACTTGATCAAGGAGTAAGTAATCTATTAGCCGAGACTTAAACAAACGAAAAACTTTATTGGAGTTTAATACACATCCCACAAAATCCACCTGTTTTTTTAATGTACAATTCAATAATATTTAGTAAATTTGCTGAGTTGTGCAACCCATCACTATGATCTAGTTTCCATTTCTCCAATAAGACCAGGGACTCTATTAAAATAAAACAATTAGACATGTAATTTTGACAAGTAGACTTGACCTATTCTATCTGATTATGCTAAGAATGAAGTGATTTGCTCAGGGGTCTGTATTAGATATAAATACACACAGAAGTTAAATATATAACTTGAAGCAAAAACATTTCCCTGTTTTTCACTTATTCCTATAGCTTTTCAGATTGGCCTAATTTATACTCAGGTTTCCTTTAAAACAGATACTATCAAGATTTCTCATTTTGCTTGTATGGTTTGAAAAACAAGCCTTTTTTGTTCCTTGGCTGGATTACTGCAATACTTTCTTTAGTGTCTCCTCACTTCTCTCTAGCCCTTTCTCCTACAACTGCTCAGAATGGTCTTTTGAATTAAATCTTATTCTTTAATTCCTGTGTAAATCCTTCCAAGGGTCTGCACATTCTCTGCCCTTGGCCTGACGTATTCTCCCTTATCAGCACATACCACAAGTCTTTCAAGACCTATAAAATCAGTACCATTTTCTCTGGGAAGTCATCCTGATTCCCCTCTTTCTGCGTATGGTGAAGAATGCTTTATGGAATACTCTGCATTCCTTTCTCTCAAGACTTAGATTTACCATTACCATATGGAAATTTCTAGGCTGTTTCCAATGCCTAGGTGGTGCTCAGAAGTGTTAGTGGTTTAGTAGAATCCTAATTGTGGAGAAAGACAGCCAAATTTGGGAGGTTTTTAGCATAGAGTAACCCTGGCATTCAGGGATGTTTGCTGTGCAAGATGGGTGTGGTACCAGAGGAGCTGTTCCTGGAGGAACTGAATCTCAGTGGCTTGAAGTGGTCAGTTCCGGCATTGGTATGTTCCCCTTCTGTATTGCACAGAGCTGGGAAACCACTGAAGTCATGTGCTCTGCAGAACTTGTTCAACTGGTTTCCTCTCCACAGACCCCTAATTCAGATTTCCACCCTTATTCTTTTCTGCATATGCTCTTAGTCTGGGCTTGTTTTAAGGTTTACCACAGTAGAGTTCTCAGTATAGTTATTTATTTGTCTTGCTGAGTGTAGAGTGGGTAGGGCCAAGTATGTACTCCCTTTGAAAAGTGTTATCAGTAAGACAAGATAGACAGGTATTATGTAAATCATGGAGTGTCAGACTCCATTAGCAGGTTTATTTCTGTGGATCTAACCATTTCACCCCCACACTCATGTGTACATACACATATACATAGCTATCATTATTTAGAGCCTACTACTAGTTGCTGGGTGAGGTGTCAGAGCCCCGGCATTGGAAAGTAGTCAACTCACAGGTTGGTAGGAAGAATTTACTGACAGCAGTATAGGTTTGAAAAAGGAAAGTTTTATTAGAAAGAAGGAACTCTGCAGAAGAATGCCTCAGCAAGAGAGAACTGAGCTCGCGGTGGATTTTTCCTTAGGGTATTTATGGAACTTAAAGCAGGAGCTTAAGGGTAGTTTGGACCATATTAGCCAATAGGTCATGATAAATGATTACATTTTTAGACGTAATGTCAGCAAGGGTTGCACAGGGAGTTTCGGCATGGCATTCCAGAGATGTATAGAAAGTCTAGTTGCTTACAAATTTTAGGTTGAAAAGAGAGCTGGAACCAGGTGCCGATTTTAGATAACAGGGAAGTTAATTACTTCTAAATTCCTCAGATAAGAAGTTTTGCCTCTGAATGGTCTCCTTAGTGGACTCCAGGTGATCACTAGTATTTGGTATGTATCATCTCATTTAATCCTTACAACAACCTTATGAAGTTTGGTGTGTTGCTAATCCTGCTTTATATATGGGAAATGGAAGCTCAGAGAAGTTAGCGGGTAACATGTCATTCTTGGTTTTTCTTATGTCCTTCCCTCTTATCTCAGGGAGGAAGTGGGGTATATTCCTTTCTGTAGCTGGCTGCCGCCTCTGCTCTTCAGAACCTTGCTTTCTTTTGTTCTTATTCCTGTATCTTTAGCCCCTCCTTCACGTGTTCTTTTCTTGCAGACTATAAAAATATGCTTTTTCCACAATCATTTAAAAAAAATAAAAAGACACTTTCCCAGGACATGTCACCATCTCAGACTAACTCCTTCTCCGTTCCCCCTAGTTTTTCCTCTTCCTTTCTTACACTTCTAGAAAAAGAAGTTGGCTGGGTGCAGTGACTCATGCCTGTAATCCCAGTACTTTGGGAGATGGAGAAGGGGGCGGGGAGGGAGTTGGGGGTTGGAAGTCAAGAATCTCTTGAGTTCAGGAGTTCCATACCAGCCTGGACAACATAGTGAAACCTTGTCTCCATTATAAAAAAAGTAATAATAATAAAATAAAAATTAGAAAAAGAAGCCTACATTTGCTGCCTCTCCTTCCTACTTTTAGTTACTTTTCTAGTTATTTTAAATGGACTCCTGTGTCACCACTCCACTAAGACTCCCCTTACAGGAGCCAAAGATGACCTTGCTTGTGTGCCACATTCTTTTCTCTTCACCACCCGCCTCTCTGCAGCATTGAAAGCTGGTGACCTCTACCAGTTTGCTGATTTTTTCCTTCCGTGATTGCCATTGTGTGATTCTCTCCTGGTTCTTAACTTGATCACAGACGCTATCTTTGTCTCTTTCACCTCTTAAGTGTTGGTGTTCTCTGAGGCACAGTGCTTCAGCTTTTACATTTTTCTCCACAGCCTCTTTCTCTGTGGGCTTATCTACTCTTGTGGTGCCATTTTCCAGATTTAGGTCTTCAGCAACAGGTCTCCCTCCTGAGACCTGTGTTTCCAACTGCCTACAAGATGCCACTGTCTGGACGTCCCGTTGACATTTCAAGCTGAACATGTTTCAACCGTGAATTGCTCATCCTCTCCGGCTTTTGTGGGTGTCCCCATTCTTGTTTAATGGCATCATCTTTTATGTAGTCATCCATGCCGCAAGTCACCAAATCATCTTTTAAAAAATAAGAAAAAAACCTTCTCTTTTCGTTTTATAGAAGTGTTTGTAAGTTTGCTGTAGATGGTATATGGTGCCGGATTTTCTCCTAGAATTGTGTGTCAGAATGTGGGGCTTCTCGACACACTGGACAACAATGTTATTTTAAAAAATCTTTGCTAGTCTGATAGCTGAAGATGGTGATATTGTTACTTTACTTTGTATTTCTTTGGTTAGTAGTAAGATTGAGAAATTTTCTTATAAATTACTGGCTATATGTATATTTTATGAATTTTTAAATTTGTGTTTCTAGCATATTTTTCTAGGGAAATGTTTGCCATTTTATTTCAAGTGTTTAAAATGTATATACATGTAAAGATTATGGAATATTGTTAGCTCTTTGTTATATGTTGTGATTTTTTTTCCTCCAGTAACCTTTCCTGTTAAAGTTTTATTTAGTTTTTTAAAAATGGCCTTACAGAAGTTTAAATACTAGCCAATTTATCTTTTCCTTTCTGATTTCTGCTTCTGTAGTAGTGTTTGTAAACTTCTTTCTCATTTTAAGAGTATATAACTATTTTTTCTTTTTTAAAAAATTCTCTAATCCATTTGGTGTTTAATGTTAGTTGTGAACCGTGAGGTCTGGAGCTAACTGCTTCCCCACCCTCCATGCCCCCTGCCTTTTCAGTCATCTGTGAGATTTCACATCTTTCCCACTGCCCTTCTAATCCCCGTGCCTCATCTAACAGATTGTCAAATGGGGTCAATTCTACCTTTGTAATTGTTAATCATTCTCTTTCCACCATTGTCCCAGTTAAAGACTGTATTACCACTCACCTGGATTACCGAAATGTTTGCCTGATATTTCTCCCTTGAATCTGTCGTCCATGCTGCTGTCCAAGTTCTCCTTCTAAGTCTACTTGAAAACCTCCCATGGCTCCCATTCCTGCAGGTTAGATTACTAATCCAGATACTTTTACACCTACTTCTCTACCACAGTGACTTACCGTTCCCTGAATGTGCCATTTGTTTTCAGCCTTTTTTTTTGTCCTTTGTATTATGCTGTTCCTTTTTTGTTTTTTAATTTTTTTATTTATTATACTTTAAGTTCCAGGGTACATGTGCACAACGTGCAGGTTTGTTACATAATGTATACAGGTGCCATGTTGATGTGCTGCACCCATTAACTCGTCATTTACATTAGGTATGTCTCCTAATGCTATCCCTCCCGCCTCCCCCTACCCCACAACAGGCCCCAGTGTGTGATGTTCCCATGTCCCTACAAAGGACATGAACTCATCCTTTTTTATGGCTTCATAGTATTCCATGGTGTATATGTGCCACATTTTCTTAATCCATTCTATCATTGATGGACATTTGGGTTGGTTCCAAGTCTTTGCTATTGTGAATGGTGCTGCAGTAAACATACGTGCGCATGTGTCTTTATAGCAGCATGATTTATAATCCTTTGGGTACATACCCAGTAATGGGATGGCTGGGTCAAATGGTATTTCTAGTTCTAGATCCTTGAGGAACTGCCACACTGTCTTCCCCAATGGTTGAAGCAGTTTACAGTCCCTCCAGCAGTGTAAAAGTGTTCCTATTTCTCCACATCCTCTCCAGCACCTGTTGTTTCCTGACTTTTTTTTTTTTTTTTTGAGACGGAGTCTTGCTCTGTTGCCCAGGCTGGAGTGCAGTGGCACAATCTTGGCTCACTGCAGGCTTCACCTCCCGTGTTCACGCCATTCTCCTGCCTCAGCCTCCCGAGTAGCTGGGATTACAGGTGCCCGCCACCACGCCCAGCTAATTTTTTGTATTTTTAGTAGAGATGGGAGTTCTCCGTGTTAGCCAGGATGGTCTCGATCTCCTGACCTCATGATCCACCTGCCTTGGCCTCCCAAAGTGCTGGGATTACAGACGTGAGCCGCTGTGCCCAGCCTGTTTCTTAACTTTTTAATGATCACTATTCTAACTGGTGTGAGATGGTATCTCGTTGTGGTTTTGATTTGCATTTCTCTGATGGCCAGTGATGACCATTTTTTCATGTGTCTGTTGGCTGCATAAATGTCTTCTTTTGCAAAGTGTCTGTTCATATCCTTCCCCTACTTTGTGATGGGGTTGTTTGTTTCTTTTAAATTTGTTTGAGTTCTTTGTAGATTCTGGATATTAGCCCTTTGTCAGATAAGTATATTGCAAAAATTTTCTCCCATTCTGTAGGTTGCCTGTTCACTCTGATGGTAGTTTCTTTTGCTGTGCAGAAGCTCTTTCGTTTAATTAGATCCCATTTGTCAATTTTGGCTTTTGTTGCCATTGCTTTTGGTGTTTCAGACATGAAGTCCTTGCCCATGTCTATGTCCTGAATGGTATTGCCTAGGTTTTCTTCTAGGGTTTTTATGGTTTTAGGTCTAACATTTAAGTCTTTAATCCATCTCGAATTAATTTTTGTATAACGTGTAAGGAAGGGATCCAGTTTCAGCTTTCTACATATGGCTAGCCAGTTTTCCCAGCACCATTTATTAAATAGGGAATCGTTTCCCCATTTCTTGTTTTGGTCAGGTTTGTCAAAGATCAGATGGTTGTGGATATGTGGTATTATTTCTGAGGGCTCTGTTCTGTTCCATTGGTCTATATCTCTGTTTTGGTACCAGTACCATACCATGCTGTTTTGGTTATTGTAGCCTTGTAGTATAGTTTGAAGTCAGGTAGCATGATGCTTCCAGCTTTGTTCTTTTGGCTTAGGATTGTCTTGGCAATGCGGGCTCTTTTTGGGTTCCATATGAACTTTAAAGTAGTTTTTTCCAATTCTGTGAAGAAAGTCATTGGTAGCTTGATGGGGATGGCATTAAATCTATAAATTACCTTGCTCAGTATGGCCATTTTCACGATATTGATTCTTCCTATCCATGAGCATGGAATGTTCTTCCATTTGTTTGTATCCTCTTTTATTTCATTGAGCAGTGGTTTGTAGTTCTCCTTGAAGAGGTCCTTCACATCCCTTGTAAGTTGGATTCCTAAGTATTTTTATGCTGTTCCTTTATGTTACATGTCTCCTTTTCCCATTTTTCACTATTGGAAATAGAATTTATTTGAGCAAAGCCTAGTTCAGATATCATCTCCTATTGTAGCTAGCTGTTAAAGCATAACTGTTACCAGAGAGTAATTCCCTTGAAGGTGCTGACTGGTATTCAGCACAACGTTATACCACTGATAAGTGTTCCACACAGTAGTCAGTTCGAAATGTTTCCTGAATGAATACGTGGGTGTCAGAATAGACACCTTTTTTTTTTTGAGGAATTGACTTAAAATACTTAGGAAAAAAACTTTAAAAAATAGAATAAATATGAAAAGGTATAAGAATTACTATGTAGGCTGAGCAGAGTGGCTCAAGCCTATAATCCTTGCACTTTGGGAGGCTGAGGTGGAAGGATCCCTTGAGCCCAGGAGTTGGAGACCAGCCTGAGTAACATAGGGAGTTGCTGTCTCTACAAATAATTTTAAAAATTAGCCTCGTGTGGTGGTACACACCTGTGGTCCCAGCTACTCAGGAGGCTGAGGTGGGAGCATCACTGATCCCAGGAGGTTGAGGCCACAGTGAGCCGTGTGATTGGGCCACTGAACTCCAGACTGGGTGGCAGAGCGAGACACTGTCTCAAAAAAAAAATTAAAAGACTGTAATTAAAGATAGCCTTTTGTATAAGCATTCATTTTTGTACTAATTGTATCAGCTTCACCAATGTGTAATACTAGGCCTCTCCCTTAGTGCTTGATAGAAGTAAGGGTTGTTAATGAGGTTATATATTGTGGTGTGGGATACTTCAGGAAGCCCAATTTCAGAACTTGAGCATTTGTAAGGGAATGTTCAGTAGGTCGTAACTGTTGTTATTGTTGAAGGAGGAAGTATCCTGTAGCAATTAAGAGTATCAGCTTCATACTGGTTCGTGGCTCACGCCTGTAATCCCAGCACTTTGGGAGGGTAAGGCAGGTGGATGGCTTGAGCCCAGGAGTTTGGACCACCCTGGGTAACATGGTGAAACCCTTTCTCTACAAAAAAAGGCAAAAATTAGCCGGGTGTTGTGGCACATGCTTGTGACCCCAGCTTCTTGAGAGGCTAGGTAGGAGGATCCAGAGGATCGCTTGAACCCTGAAAGTCAAGGCTGCAGTGAGCCATGATCACACCACTACATAGACTCTGTCTCAAAAAAGAAAAAAAAAAAAAAAAGCCAGAGTATGGGCTTCAGAATCACACCAACTTGGGTTCAAGTGAGAGTTTACTTGCCAGATAATCTTGGAATATACTTTTTGGAACCCACAGTTTATCTGTAAAATAATTACAATAATACTTCAGAGGTTGTTGCAAAGATTGAGATAATAATGCATGTAAAGTATTTGGCTTCATGTCTGCCACATGGTGTGAAGATTATTTTTTAAGTGTCATTTATATTGAAAATGAGTCATTCTATGTTACTTCTTTCCTGTTTAGTACTTGTGTTTCAGATCTGACATCACCTTTTTAAAAATTTTGCATTTGAGTGAGATTTGCTAAAGCAGTTCTGGGGTTAAACTTGAAGAGAAAATATTGAATATTTATATTTAATATCCCATGTGAGAGGAGAGATTAAGAACCCTGTTGTCTGCTTGTTACATCTCTTGTGAAAAACATAAAAAATATAAGAGTTTTGTTACTGAACTCTACTTGTGGTTTTGGTCGAGTCTATCATGAAGGTATGTTGTGGAGATTAGTGCAAATAATGATTTAAATATGGAATTATAAAGTTTAGCAGCTCTATATTCGGGGAAAAACGAGTCTCTGTTGATTGAAAAAGCATAATAAAATAATTTATTCTGAGGCTTTGTGGTTATGCAGTGTCAGAATGAAAAAGATGATACTCCTGTTCCATTTCAGGCTGGTCAGACCATACCTGGAACACAGTGTTCAGTTGGAGAAAGTTCAGAGATGAGCAAAAGACGTGAGGGGGCAGAGATGATGTCTAACACTGCTAATATAATACCTGGTAACGTTTTGAGTACTTACTCTGTGCCAGGCACTGTTCTTAGTATTTTATATGTACTATCATCTCTTTAATCCTCATAAACATTCTGTGGGTAGGTGCTATTATTATTCTGTTTTTATGACTAGTGCTTGAAGGAGCTGGAATCATTTTACTTATGGAATTGTCAGCATGTGACTCATCATGAGGGGATAGGAGGAAAGGCACAAATATTTTTTTCAATACCCAGCCAAGCACTGTGCTAGCTCTATTTCACTTGCAATCTTATTTAATCCTCAATGACAAACCTTGGAAGATCCTGTTAGCCTTTTTTAACAAATGAAAGAACTGGTCAAGTGGCTTGCTGTCTTTCTCGGTAAGTGCGAGAGACAGGACATGGAACCAGATCTTTCCAAGTCCATGGCCAGTGCTACTCACATTATGCTTTTATTTTTACGTTCTCTTGCTCCAGGAGGCAGCTTAGGGTGCCAGTAGAGAATTGATGCCGGCTTAGCAAAAACCTTCTGACTACTGGAGTCCAGAAATGAACTAGGTTACCTTGAATGTTTGATTCTCTGTCAGTATTCAGGCTCAGCCTGCTTCCTGATTTGGCTGAGATGTTTTGGGAACATCAAATTGGGGATGGAGTAGAACATGTGAGGGGAGTGGAGGAATTGAGATGGGCTGAAAGATCTTTAATGAGCCTTCCATCCTTGAGATTCTATGATTATTGCTAGGACAGGGTTAAATATGAGAATTGGTGAAAAGTTGTGTTGGCCAGTGATTTTTCTTTTGTGCATAGATTGATTGATTTTGAGACAAGAGTTTCACTGTCGCCCAGGCTGGGAATGCAGTGGTATGATCACTGCTCACTGCATCCTCAAACTCTCAGACTCAGGCAACCCTCCCACCTCAGCCATAGTTTTATTTTTAAATGTCTTTATAGGCCGGGCACAGTGGCTCACGCCTATAATCCCAGCACTTTGGGAGGCCAAGGTGGGCGGATCACTTGAGGTCAGGAGTTCAAGGCCAGCCCGGCCAACATGGCGAAACCCCGTCTCTACTAAGATGTACAAAAACTAGCCGGGTGTGCTGATCCCAGCTACCCAGAGGAGACGGGAGAATTGCTTGAACCCGGAAGCCAGAGGTTGCAATGAGCTGAGATCGTGCCATTGCACTCTAGCCTGGGCGACAAAGCGAGACTCCATCTCAAAGAAAAATTTTTTTTAATAAAGTCTTCATAAAGCTAAATTTATAAAAAAGCTAGAGGCTGGGCGTGGTGGCTCATGCCTATAATCCCAGCACTTTGGGAGGCCGAGGCTGGTGGATCACCTGAGGTCAGGAGTTCAGGACCAACCTGGCCAACATGGTGAAACCCCATCTCTACTAAAAATATAAAAATTAGCCGGTTGTGGTGGCACAAGCCTGTAATCCCAGCCACTTGGGAGGCTGAGGCAGGAGAATTGCTTGAACTTGGGAGACGGAGGTTGCAGTGAGCTGACATCATGCCACTGCACTTCAGCCTGGGCAACAGAGCGAGACTCCGTTTCAAAAAAAAAAAAAAAGCTAGAGATATGGTTTAGCAGCTCTATATTTGGGGAAAAAAGGAGTCTCTGTTGATTGAAAAAGTGTAATAAAATAATTTAAGCTGAGGCTTTGTGGTTATGGAGTGTCATAATGAAGAAGGTGATAGTCCTGTTCCATTTCAGGCTGGTCAGACCATACTTGGAACACAGTATTCAGTAGGAGAATGAATTCAGCCAGGTTTGTTTGTTTGTCTTTTAAGACAGAGACTTGCTCTGCTGTTGCCCAGGCTGGAGTGCAGTGATGCAATCTCAGCTCATGCCTCAGTTTTCCAAGTAGTGGCTGGGATTGCAGGCATACTCCACCACACTTGGCTAATTTTTGTATTTTTTGTAGAGACGGGGTCTCACCCTGTTGGCCAGGTTTTTCTCCAATTCCTGACCTCAAGTGATCCACCCGCGTTGGCCTCCCAAAGTGCTGGGATTACAGGCGTGAACCACTGCACCGGTTCTAAATATTTAAGTTTTATAAGAAAGGTTTTGTGTCTAAGTTGAGAATCACTGGTGGATTTAGTTAAGCTAAAATACCTTTAATTATTAAAAAGTAGGCAGAATGTGGAGAGATACCAGCCTTTTTCCTTCTTGGTATTTCTGCGATTTTTCCCTTTTTAGACAGCCTGTGGAGCTCAACCCCTTTTGGCTTTTCAGGTGATATAGTGAGAGCAAGAGTGATACTGTGAGGAGGATTCTAAACCTAGCAATCAGTCTTGTTATTCCATCTTTGCCACTAGCTATTGGATGACCTTGGATCAGCCTCATTCTTATTTGTAAATGGGAGGAAGTGCAAATAGATTATTAGCCTCTGAGCAGGCTTGTGGCCAGTTAGATTCTTTTTCAATGTTTATATTTTTAATTTTGGAGTTGTACTTCTAAGGACCTTTACTAAGGAATTAATTCTAAATAAAGAAGAACACCGTGCACAAAGATATTCCTTGCACTATTATTTAATGGTTGAAAACATTTAGAAATGACATAAATGTCTAAGATAGGTGACTTATTAAGGACTTGGTTAAATTTTTATGTAAACTTAAAGTCTTCAGAAACTATATAATAACATGGAAAATATAAACATTTCAGAAATGTTTAATAATTGTCTCATTCATATATATATATATATGTATATATATATATGTATATGTATATATATATATGTATATATATATATATATATAATTTTTGAGACAGAGTTTGTATATATAATTTTTGAGACAGAGTTTTGCTCTGTTGCCCAGGTTGGAGTATGGTGGCACGATCATAACTCACTGCAGCCTTGACCTCCTGGGCTCAAACGGTCCTCCTGCTGCAGCCTCTCAAGTAGCTAGGACTACAGGCATGTGCCACCACGCCTGGCTAATTTTTAAATTTTTTGTAGAGACAGGGTCTGGCTGTGTTGCCAGGCTGGTCCTGAACTCTTGGGCTCAAGCAATCCTCCTGCCTTGGCCTCCCAAAGTGCTGGGATTACAGGCGTGAGCTACTGTGCCTGGCCATTTTTAGATATATATTATATTAAAAACAAACAAAGGGATTTTCCCTAGAAGTGCATTTGCTTCCTGGCTCTCAGGTTTTCTGATTCTGTGATTTAGTAGAAGAAGGGGAAATCTCATGTGAGCTGTAGAGAAAGACTGAAAGAAGTGTTTGTTGTGTCATCTTGGAATTCGAGTAGAATCCAAACTTCTGCTAACATTAAAAATGTTAACATGGCACTTTACTTTTCAAAGCAGTTTGGTCCTGATTTGTTCGTTTGTGACAGGGTTTCACTTTGTCACCCCAGTTAGAGTGCAGTGCCACCATCTCAACTCACTGCAGCTTCTACCTCCCAGGTTAAAGTGATCCTCCTGTCTTAGCCTCCCAAGTATCTGAGACTATAGGTGCACACCACCACACTGGCAAATTTTTGTATTTTTAGTAGAGATGGGGTTTCGCCATGTTGTCCAGGCTGGTCTGGAACTCCTGACCTCAAGTGTTCGGCCTGCCTTGGCCTCCCAAAGTGCTGGGATTACAGGTGTGAGCCACTGCATCCTACCTAGTCCTGATTTATTTTATAAACAAACCAGGTGATACTCCATTGTGAAATAGCTCAGATTGGTGGGCAAGCCACATATGTGGTGAGGTGACTTGGAAGGCAGCTTCAGGTTTGAGCAGTTGTTTAGAAACAATGTATTTTGCCTCCCTGTTTATTCTAGCTCATTCTTTCTGTTTAATAACTTTCACCAAATCACAGTTGGCCTTTCTTCTCTGACCTGACACCTGTGTTATATAAAGAGCATTCTACCCAGCTATAGGAAACATCTAAGTCAGGACTGTTTTATAGCAGTTGGACTAGGGAAAGGAAATATAAAGAATGCTGGGAGATGTTACCATGGGCTCTCCTTTTATTTTTGTCTAGAAATCTCAGAAAAGAGGAAAACCTAAATACCTCTGGTAACTGGCTCTGATTCAAGGCAAAAGTATCTACTGTGCTCTTTATCCGTAGTTTTCCCTGTGTGTTTACTTCATTTTAAAAAGAAAAATAAGTAACTTTTTTTTTTTTTGGTACTGTTACGTGCTTGAGGGCCATTTTTGGCTTAGGCTGAGGTTGTTAGGTTTTCACTGTTAATGAGAACCCAAGTTAGATTGTCCCCTGAGAGCTGGAGTTGCCAGTAGTTGTTTGCCAGAATGATTTTATCAACATCCTTTTTAGCAGTAAAAAGATGAGATGTGTCCTTGAACTACACTATTTTCCGTACCGACAACTGCCAATCTTTTCCACATTGCCCTTTGCATCTTTAGGCTGAATAGAGGTATAGTTTAGATTTTTGTAGCCATTTCAAATTGGTATCTCATTTATTATGACAACTCTTCTGGAAAACTCATTTGTTTCATTTTTCCCCTTTCTGACAATTTAAGTTCTACTATTTGAAAGAAAGAAAAGACAGCAGAGAAGCTTATCATCGAGTATAGGAAACAACCAGAAAATTATCTGGCCCATTCATATACCCATCAGGCTTCATGTGTTAGAGAGTACGCTGCCTAATTTAAAGGTAGAGTAGATTTAAAAGCAAGACTGAGCTGGGAACGGTGGCTTACGCCTGTAATCCCAGCACTTTGGAAGGCCGAGGTGGGTGGATCACCTGAGGTCAGGAGTTCAAGACCAGCCTGACCAATATGGTGAAACCCCATCTCTACTAAAAATACCAAAAAATTAGCCAGGTGTGGTGGCACAGGCCTGTAATCCCAGCAACTCGGGAGGCTGAGGCAGGAGAATTGCTTGAACCCAGGAGGCAGAGGTTGTAGTGAGCTGAGATTGTACCATTGCACTCCAGCCTGGGCAACAGAGTGAGACTCCAACTTAAAAAAAAAAAAATTGAGTGAAATAATTTTAAATTAGGAGTTTTAAATCTAGGGTTCCTAGAGTCAATGAAGTCTCTGAAATTACATGTAAAATTTAAGTATATGTATATTTTTCCAGGGGAAGGTTCTATAGCTTTCCTTCGATATTCACAGGATTCTGTGGCTCAGTGGTTGAAAACTGTTGCCATGGTCCGGGTCCAGTGGCTCACACCTGTAATCCCAGCACTTTGGGAGGCTGAGGTGGGCGGATCACTTGAGGTCAGGAGTTTGAGACCAGCCTGGTCAATATGACGAAGCCCCGTCTCTACTAAAAATACAAAAATTAGCTGGGCATGGTGGTGCATGCCTGGAGTCCCAGCTACTCAGGAAGCTGAGGCAGGAGAATTGCTTGAACCCGGGAGGCGGAGGTTGCAGTGAGCTGAGATCATGCCACTGCACTCCAGGCTGGGCAATAGAGTGAGACTTTGTCTCAAAAGAAAAAAGAAGAAAAGGAAAAAAAAACCATTGCCATAAATGATCTTTAGTTACCTATGTTTCCGTTGGTAGAAAATACATGTAACTAAACTTTCCTTTGTTTTATCTTAGGCTTTCTTGAAATGTACTAAGAGATATTTGAAGGGGAAAATACAGTTTTCTTTTTTTCTTTGTTTTATTCTTTTTCTTTTTGGAAAATAGTTTTCTTTTCCTATCCTTTTTACAACCTCCTCCCTGCCTCCAAAAATCTGAGAATTCATTATTTACTGCTTCCATAGGAGTTTCTTTTAATATTTTAGCTGAAATAATTGAGTCTGTTTTGATAACCCCCAAGCAACCTTAAAACTTGGACCTAGAAATTCACTGTGGATTCTGAGTTCTGCAACTGGAAGAGAATGTCAGCAACAAATTAAAGCTTCTGAACAGTTGAAATGGTGGCTTCAGTTACCAATGGCTTTTCTTAGGATTTGTTAAAGAGCAACTTAAGGACTGAGGGAAAGGGTCTGAGGTTCTGGGAGCAGTCAGGATCTGGGGAGCCAGCTGGCTGTGTTGCTGCAGCAGAGGAAAGTGGGGTGGAGAAGAAAGTGGCATTTATGCTCAGGAATTTTCCTAAGTTCCCCGCCTCTGAGATCTGACTGGGCCAGGCAGGGAAAGGATGTGTGTGGAACTGATTGTAAAAGAGTGCTATTATGTTCAGTTTAAGCTTCTCCAAGGAGAATGGAAATAAAGCTTAAAATCTCTAAGGAAAAGTTCTGACCTTCCCTTTCTTTTTTTGCATCCTCTCTCCTTTGGTGCAGGTGGATGGAAGCATGCCTAGGGGAAGATCTGCCTCCCACCACAGAACTGGAGGAGGGGCTTAGGAATGGGGTCTACCTTGCCAAACTGGGGAACTTCTTCTCTCCCAAAGTAGTGTCCCTGAAAAAAATCTATGATCGAGAACAGACCAGATACAAGGTGAGTCCTTCCTTGCTTTGTGCTTAGATTTCTGTCAACTTGAGAAAGTTAGCATGTTTTATTTTGTGTAAGAGTTATTGAGAAGTCTGTGTAAGGTGTGTTTGTTGCAACAAATTATAGCCTTTAAAATGCCTGGCAGAATGGAGAAATTTGTGCAAAGGCAATATGTACTAGGCAAATATTATTACATCTCTTTTAGAATTTATCTGGAAAGCCCGCCTCCCCCCTACCCTGTCCCCCCACAAAAAAATATGTACTAGGAAAAGAACTTTAGCTGTCTTTGTTTCTGGTAGAATTCTTATGATGTTATATATCTAGAAATTTTCCTAGTTGTAGATGAATTTTTTAATTCTTTAGAAGGTAGAAGAAATAACTAGGGGAATTACCACTTTAAATCTAGTTTTGGGGCCGGGCGCGGTGGCTCACGCCGGTAATCCCAGTACTTTGGGAGGCTGAGGTGGGCGGATCACAAGGTCAGGAGTTCGAGACCAGCCTGACCAACATGGTGAAACCCCGTCTCTACCAAAAATACAAAAATTAGCCGGGCGTGGTGGTGCATGCCTGTAATCCCAGCTACTCAGGAGGCTGAGGCAGGAGAATCGCTTGAACCCGGGAGGCAGAGGTTGCAGTGAGCCGAGATCATGACACTGCACTCCAGCCCTGGGTGTCAGAGTGAGACTCCATCTCAAAAAAAAAAAAAAAAAGAAAGCCTAATTTTAGGCTGGGCACACTGATTCTCACCTGTAATCCCAGTACTTGGAAGGCCAAGGTGGTAGGATCACTTAAGACCAGGAGTTTGAGAGTAGCCTGGGCAATATAATGAGACCCTGTCTTACAAAAAAAAAAATTAGCCAGACATGGTCACACATGCTGTAGTCCTGGCTACTTGGGAGACTGAGGCAAGAGGATTGCTTGAGCCTAGGAGGTTGAGGCTGTAGGGAGTTAGTATTGCGCCACTGCACTCCCACCTGTCTCTTAAAAAAAGAAATGAATTTTAAGCACTGAGATTTGTTGGCAAATTGAATGCAAAAGTAACTTCATGAAAAAACATCACCCTGCGTTGCTGGAGTTCAAGGTACAATGGGAAAGTGATTCAGTTTCAGAAAATTGAGATAAGTGAGAGGGTTTGATTCCTGTATCTCAAGGTGCTATAAAAAAGAAGACTGACTGCTTAATTAAGTTGGAATGTTGGGCCAGGCCCAGTAGTTCATGCCTGTAATCCCAGCACTTTGGGAGGTTGAGGCGGGCGGATCACTTGAGGTCAGGAGTTCAAGACAAACCCGGCCAACTTGGTGAAACCCCATCTCTACTAAAAATATAAAAATTAGCCAGGCTTGGTGGCGCACACCTGTAATCCCAGCCACTCAGGAGGCTGAGGCAGGAGAATCACTTGAACCCAGGAGGCGGGGGTTACAGTGAGCTGAGATAGCACCACTGCACTCCAGCCTGGGCAACAGAGCAAGACTCTGTCTCCCAAAAAAAAAATGGGGATGTTGACAAGGACCAAATTTTCTTGTCTACAGAGGTTACCTGTGAATCCTTATTTGAAAAATGATGACTATGAAAGATAGTGGAGAATTGCATTACCAAGACCAAATGTAAGGGTGGTCAGCTGTAATAACTGGGCCCAAACTCAGAATGAGTAAGGCTACAATGTCAAAGAGATAATTTTTATGTTTTATGTTTAAATTCAAGGGAAAACAAGGAACGGTATAGGTACTCAGCCAAAATTAACATCATAAACAGAAACTTTCCTTAAACAAAAAGACTTATATGTTCAGTGGGTTTTTTTTGTTGTTGGTTGGTTGGTTGGTTTTTGTTTTGAGACAGGGACTTGCTGTGTCACCCAGGCTAGAGTGCAGTAATGCCATCATGGCTCACTGCAGCCCTGACCTCCCTAGGCTCAAGCAATCCTCCCACCTCAGCCTCCCTAGTAGTTGGGACTATGGGAGCATGCTACTACACCAGGCTAATTTAAACAAATTTTAGTGTAGAGATGGGGGTCTCACTATGTTGCCCAGGTTGGTCTCCAACTCCTGGGCTTAAGTTATCCTCCCACCTTGGCCTCTCAAAGTGCCAGGATTACAGGCATGAGCCACTGTGCCCAGCCCTTTGCTCAGTTTTGAATACACAGTTATTCTGAAGACAACTCTGGAGCTATTCTGTAGGCAGAATGGGAAGATAGTGTAAAAGGAGAGCGGAGACTCTGCAGCAACAATAAAAAAAAAATGGCTGGGAGGAGTGGCTCATGCCTGTAATCCCAGCACTTTGGGAGGCTGAGGTGGGAGCCCTCACTTGAGTCTAGGAGTTTGAGATCAGCCTGGGCAACAAGGTGAAACCTCCGCTCTACAAAAAATAGAAAAACAATTAGATGGGCATGGTGACATGCACTCGTAGTCCCAGCTACTCAGGAGGCAAAGGTGAGAATATCGCTTGAGCCCAGGAGGTGAGGCTGCAGTGAGCCGATTGTGCCAGTGAGCCGATTGTGCCAGTGCACTGCAGCCTGGACAACAAAGTGGAGCCCTGTTTCAAAAAAAAGCAGACATTGAAGTTTAGAGGGGATATCTGTATATATAGAATGAAAGCCCTGATTGATTTTTTTTAAGACAGAGTCTCATTCTGTCGCCTAGGCTGGAGTGCAGTGGTGCCGTCTTGGCTCTCACTGCAACCTCTGCCTCCCAGGTTCAACGATTCTCCTGCCTCAGCCTCCCGAGTAGCTGGGATTACAGGTGTGCACCACCACACCTGGCTAATTTTTGTATTTTTAGTAGAGATGGGATTTCACCATGTTGGCCAGGCTGATCTCAAACTCCTGACCTCAGGTGATCTGTCCACCTCGGCCTGCCAATGTGCTGGGATTACAGGAATGAGCCACCGTCCCAGCGTGGTATTTTTATACAGCATTTTGTGAACATCTATGTATTCAGACACCATACTAATTTGTTCATGTGCATTATCTCACTTAGTTTTTATACATACAAAGCAGCTGTTCTAGATGGTAAAACTCTGTCCCTAAAGGATGAAGTGGCTTTTCCAGTGTCACCAGTAGATTACTAAGCCAGTAATTGAATCCAAGATAATTTAACTCCAAAGACCACATGTTCTGTTGAGCACACTATACACAAGAAGGCTCTCCAGGTAGTTGCTAAGTGAGAGGAGCTGAGATGTGGATTTGGCTTTTTGGTATTGGAATGTGAGCATAATGACATCAAAATTAAGGAAAATTTGTCAAATCTCTTGAGGAAACTTTTGCGAAGAGAGTTTTTATTTAATATTTGCTTCAATACAGCCAATAATACCTAATTTTCTTTTTTTTTTCTAGGCGACTGGCCTCCACTTTAGACACACTGATAATGTGATTCAGTGGTTGAATGCCATGGATGAGATTGGATTGCCTAAGGTAACTTACCTGAGATAATAGTTTAGGCTTTGTTCCAGCTGTTGTGGCATAACCCTCAAACAACCTGTTCTCATTCTACCTGTAAAATTATTCTCAGAATCTTTGGTGTTTTTTTAAATACTAAAAGATGTCTTTCTTTTTGACTTAGGAAATAGTTTTGTTCTTTTTCTTTTATAATCCTCATACCTGTTTCATCTTACCCTAGAGAAATTCCCTGTGATGATATCTACTTTTACTACATCAAATTGTAGACTTACATTTTACTATTTTTCCTTAGATAGAATTCACATGCTGTGAGATTCACCATTTTAAAGAATACCAAATCAGTGGTTTTTATTTATTCACAAAGTTGTTAACATTAAAATTTGACCTTTGGAAATATAAGGAAATATTTTAGAAATCTGTAGGGAGTATGAAGGGTCATTTTTTATTTTAAATTGTAGAGGTGGTAGAATGACGTTTACTTCCTGGATCTGTTTTTGGTCATGGCTGCAGTTTTGTTTGGAGTGTACATCTTCTGGGTGTTCTGCTCAGGAGTTTATTTAGTGTTGCTTTCAGTGAAATTGCCATCCCAGTCCTGTCTGAATCTATAACTGCCACACTGTATGGTCACTCTTAGAGACATGAATGGATTGATTGATTTCATTCTTTCTTTTGTTCTCATTTTTTTCTGTTTATATCCTTTGACGTAAGAATTCCGCTTCTGGGAAGTTATCCGAAGTAAATAATCAGAAAGCACCAAAAAAATGTATACAGAAGGATTTTTTAGCATTGATTATGATAGAAAAAATTGATAGCAAAGTACATGTTTCTTTACAAGGGGTATTAATTGTGTTACAGCCAAATACTAGTGCCATTTAAAAGGATATCAACCCAAGTAAAGGGCCTTTGATGTATTAAGTGGGGAAAAACGGTTGAAGGTTATAGGAGTTTGTGTTCTAGCTAAGATCAGATCACTATTTTTGTGTAAAAATAAAGTGAGTGTTCTTGGGAAAAATTTGTAAGGAGATAAAATGGTTTTCATTTCTGTGTGATGGGATTAAGGGTGGTTTTTATTTTCCTTGTACTTTCCTGTAGAGTTCAAATTTTTGTAACCAAAGGAAAATTTATTTTAAAAAAGTGAGGTGTAGGGTATCAGAAGGTGGCTAAAACCATTTTATATTTTGTATTTTGTTCAATATAGAAATATTGTATACATTTTATATTTTGTATTTTGTGCAATATATAAATATTGTATACAAATATGTATATTATATAGATAAATATATGACTTATACAATATATTACAATATAGAATATATTGTAATATAATTTTACAATATTATATAATATACAATATATAATTACATATTGTAATATATAATCATATATACAATATATTATATATTATATATACACAATATATTACAACATGTAATTATATATTACGTATATAGTATATTGATATGTATACAATATACAACAGATATGCATTGTTGCATACATACCTGTGGAATTGTGTTAAATCAGAACTGAGTCTTTGCAGAAGACTAGCTTTTCTCCTCTTTTTTTCAGAGAAAGTTCTGAAGTTCTCTTCCTTGCCACTGGTATGTTTGAGAATTAGGCCCCACAATTGTTAGGAAATGCAGTACGTCAAGTTCTTACAGCTACGTGGCCTGTCTGTGCACCTGTAATTTCCTTTCCCTGTTTTTTAATATAGTATAAAATACTGTGCTATATAGTGTAAAATATTACACTGTGCACCTGTAACTTCCTGTTTCTGTTTTTTATATAGTATATTGCCAGTGGGCAATGACAATAACCTCATTTGAATGTTACTAAGAGCTTTGTTAATATTTGCAATTGCTAGTAGTGTTGTTACTACGAGATGCTTTTTTAATGATGTAATTTTGTTACCTTTTTTGGTTTACTAACAGTAGTATATTGTCCTGGACTACAATTGCAACAAACACAGAATGTATTAAAGGCTTTCAGGAACAACTTGATAATCATGGCTGTAAGCCTTGAATTGTCCACCCTACGTTTAGGCCCAGAAGACTTCTGAGTAATAAGAACTAATGATAACCTAAAAATGTATTGTTGTTCTTAATATAATGTATAATACGTAATTGACAATACGTATATGGTGTTTATTGGGATGTCTTTTCTAATCTCTTTATATGGTACATGCTGGCCTATTATAGAAAATTCATGCAGTCATTTTTTGGTTCTTATCCTTTTTGACTCTTTATTATAATTGGTACTGTTGGCTGCCTTTTCCCTGAGATATTTCTTAGTTTGATTTTTAAAATTGTTTTTAATCTGCTCAACTAGTCCTGTTTTCTTTAATTATTCTACCTTCCATGTCCTAGTGATGGACATACTTTAAGATGCAATCCTTGTTAGATACATTTTCCCATTTTCATGGTTTCATTTATTCTCAAGACTTGCTGACATAAGATAAACACGGTATCTTCAGTTGGCTGCTGGACATTTCTCCTTGGATAGCTTTCTGTCACCTAGAATTTTTCATATCTAAAACTAAATCTACCTTTTCCCCAACTGAACTTCCCTTCCTCTATAATAAATGGTACCATGTCATCATTTTCCCAGTCATCCAGTCTCAAAACCTTGGAGATACCTTGAACTTCTAAATCTGGTCATTCCCTAAGCCTTCTCCATTTATTTGAAATATCTCTTTTATCCATCTACTGTTACAACAGCCTCCCAGCATACCTCCCCAGCTCCCATCTCCCATTATTCAACATATGCTGTGTCCTGTCTCCAGTCAGATCTCCCCAGGGCTCTATTTTTATCCTTAGCTCCAAAGCTAGGCTACTTCTTTATGTCCTGCTTATCAAGTTCAGACTTGTCTGACTTTCAAGTTGCTTATAATAATCTGATTTTATCCTACCTATCCAACCTTATTTTTCTGTTATTTTCTAGAACGTATTCTGTAGATTTTAAAAAACAATAGGGTATATTGCCTTACTGTCTCACAAACACATCATGATTATTTTTGCTTTATTTATTCTGGCTATTTCTCTTATTTGGAAGGCCTTTTGCTCTCTATCATGATTCACTCATTTCTTTAGTTTATGATTTCACAGTCTTAATATAGGCCTTTATTGCTTATCCAAATTCTTCTCACCTCATTATTCAGTCTTTTGCTTCTCCGAACCACTGTCACCCCTTATTTCCCTAAATTACAGATTGAATTGTATGGTGCCACATGACTGTGAGAATAGGCCTTGAAGTTCAAGGCTATTCCCAGTCTAAATCTACTCTGTTCCTATCCTACCTCATTCACTAACTCATCGAATGTAGAGCTTCCATGACCCTGGCTCTGGGCTTGATATCAAAGATATGGCAGTTAATAAATAACATAGATCTAGCCCTGCCTTCGTGTGGCTTATAGTCTGTTGGAGTAGCCAAACAGATAAACACAAATGATCGATTTTGGTAAGTGCTACCGTGGAAAAGTACTTGTCTTCCAAATTCCCTCATACATGCTCTATTCTAGCTACTTCATCTGTGTAGCTTCCCATTTCTCCTAAGCATTAAACACATTTTAATATTTTATAGTTTTTTTCAATGTCTAAATGTAGCAGGTTGCACAAACTAAAGCACTTAGTAAATGTTCATTGTTGAGTTGTTTCTCCATCTAGGCATGGTAGATAGTAACTAGGAGCATTGTAGTTCTGAAAGCCTCATACTCAGATCAGTCCAGTGATTTAAACTGGACTAGAACTTGGTCTTCATATGCCTGTGTCTGGGTCTGAAATAAGTAAATCACCTTCTCACACCTAATGAAATTCAGTGGGTTGTCCAAATAGAGATTTTCCAAGTAGTACTTTTTATTCTGTATTATAGCACTTTATTCCTTGCAATTCTTATGATGAAATGTCTGTTCACCCTAATGAAGTTATTTGCTGAATGCCACCGATGTTTTCTAAGAATGCCACCGATGTTTTCTAACTGTCCATAGTTTGATTTGGATTATTGATGATTGGTGAATGTCAGATGAACACAGTGAATGGATATCTTACTCTGTTTCTTTTATTTCTCCCTAGATTTTTTACCCAGAAACTACAGATATCTATGATCGAAAGAACATGCCAAGATGTATCTACTGTATCCATGCACTCAGGTAGTCAAATTTTCTTGGCAAAATAAGGAAATTATGAATAACATCTGAATTGAGTGTGTAGTTTTTTATCCTTGAGGTAAGAATGAAAAAGTTTTTTGATTAGTTTCAAAAGTTCCAAATAGGATAAAATACTATTATCCGAACAAAATGGTGAGAAACAGCTGTGTTTTTCTAGGGAGTTTGGAGAAGGGATTTATTTATTTAATAGCAGGTAATTTTCTTCTAAAAACATGGTATCTTTCATAATTGATCTAGTATTTCTGTGAACTATGCATTCACTTGGGGTGCAGTCTCTTGTTTAGTTAGGTAGGTCCTTGCCATTGTTAAGCCATTTGTTCATTCATTCAATAATTTTTATAAGCCGGATGCGGTGGCTCACGCCTGTAATCCCAGCATTTTGGGAGGCCAAGGCGGGTGGATCACCTGAGGTCAGGAGTTCAAGACCAGCCTGGCCAACATAGTGAAACCCTGTCTCTACTAAAAATACAAAAAATTAGCTGGGCATGGTGGCGGGTGCCTGTAATCCCAGCTACTCGGGAGGCTGAGGCAGGAGAATTGCTTGAACCCGGAAGGCAGAGGTTGCAGTGAGCCAAGATTGCACCATTGCACTCCAGCCTGGGCAACAAGAACGAAACTCCATCTAAAAAAAAATAATAATAATCATAATAATAATAATAATTTTTGTACCAACACAAACATGATAGTAAGAAATGATACAAAATATATTTTTTTCCCATAATGTCATGGTAAATTTGGAATGTGACTTAATTTTCAGGTCCCCAGAACACTAAATTAAATAGGAAGGAAAAGATGCAAGTCTGGAAGGATGGTGGGATGGCATATTAGTAGATGCTTATACAGGTTGAATATCCCTTCTCTGAAATGCTTGGGACCAGAAGTGTTTTGGATTTTGAAGTATTTGCATTATACTTACCAGTTGAGCATGCCAAATCTGAAATGCAGAATGCTCCAATTATAGCATTGAGGGTCATGTTGGTGCTTAAAAATTTTTAGATTTTGGAGCATTTTGGATTTTGGATTTTCAGATTTGGTATACTCAACCTGTGGTACAGTAGTGTAGTATTTTAGCAGATTTACTTGATGGCCACAGGACTAAAGAAGAAGATGGCAGAGCAAGTGGGACATGAGTGAGATATTTGCTTGGGCTGCACTTCTTATATGGCATCCTCTATGTGTGCTTGCTAAGTGTTAATTACATTGGAGTAGGTATATAATACTGATCTATAAGAAGACTATTGTCTCCAGTTTCTTGAGCAAACATGTACTAGATCTGTGGTATCATTGGAATCAGTGTGAAACATATGAAAGAATGAATATAGCTGAGAACTTGTGGATCTCGTGTTGAGAATGTAGCAATTTCAAATATGTGTCTGAGGCTGGGTAGGTACAGTGGCTCTCACCTGTAATCCCAGTGCTTTGGGAGACCAAGGTGGGAGGATTGCTTGAAGCCAGGAGTTAGAGACCATCCTGGGCAACGTAGCGAGACCCCATTTCTACAAGAAATAAAAAATTAGCTAGGCATGGTGGCATTCACCTGTAGTCCTAGCTACTCTGGAGGCTGAGGTGGGAGGATCACTTAAGCCGAGGAGTTTGAGACTGCAGTGAGCTATGATTGTGCTACTGCACTTCAGCCTGGATGACAGAGCGAGACTCTGTCTCTAAAAAACAAAACAAAACATTACCAAATATGTGTGTCTGAGTCCAGATCAGATTAATTCTGAGTATTTTGTTTGGCTTAGTGTTGCATGAGATTTGTCCATGTTGATAATCTTGTGAAGGCCTTACCTGCAATGGATATCTGAACGTGGAAGCAGAATTCCTCTCTGCTAGTTGTGTAGCCACTACTCTGCAGTGTAACCTGGGTTCCAGGCCCTCAAATTCTCTGTAGTAGAGCCTAAAGAATTAACTATGCCTTCCTAGTGGTAGAGTCAGAATGAGAAAGAGAGGAAGTCTGCTATTGTTTTCCATTTCTCTTGAATATGTAGTCTGTGCTTAGAAAGTATATATAGAGCAGTGTGTTTCGTGATTTATGGTTTCTTTTTTATGGTGTTTTTCCTGAAGGGTGGATTGGCAACATTTGATAATATGTAGGAAGTATTTATAATTGCTGAAAGTGCCTTCTTTTACCACAAAACACAGCCATGTTCAAAGCAGGTTCCTCACCTTGCTATATTGGATAAGGCTCCATCTCCCTTTGGATCAACAGTGACAGAAAAATACTACCTCTCTGTCTCCTCCCTGCTTGCCTTTTTTTTTTTTTTTCCTCTAAAGTCTTGATTGGCATTATTCCAGAGATAGTCACTGTACTTTAATCATACTAAATTACTTTTGTAGATAACATTCCACTCTCAGATAAGACCCCAGTTTTCCATTCTCAAAATACTTGTATACTAAGTTTGGTGTAAGCTCATTTGTCTCCTTAGTATGATTATGTTTGTGTGTTTCTCTGCAGAAAGTAATGGATTGGATTGAGGATGCTGCCCCAGGGCTTGCTGGGGATACTTTATGATACCATATACACTGTAAATAGAAATACACTTTCTAATATCTGAGAAATTCAATATTCAGACATATCTGGCTCCAAGAATTTGGATAAGGGACTGTGGACCTGTAGTAGATTCTGTTTCCTAATCACCTGCTGTGTTTCAGGGTCTTTATTAATAATCTTTGAGATTGGCATAGTGACTTCTAGGTTACTCACCATTCACAGAAAAGATAATTAGAATCCAGATAGATTAACATAGCTTCCTTCTGCCCATTGCTACAAAGTACAGCTTAAGTAGGAAATAAGAAAAATAAATCTAAGTGCAGTTACAGGCTGACGCATTATAGTGCCTAACAGTATATTTGTAGAAGTAGGCATGGGAGAGCAGGAGCAAAGATTGGAAAGTGCTGTTCACCATTAGGGTTTATAAGTTTCAGTGTGAAGCTAAGTACTTTTGATTGTGGGTAAGAGGACTTAACTGGCCGTTTTGAATCCTTTCATAGCTCCAGTGTCTCCATAAAATACTCGTAATAATTAAAGAGAGTTAAAAGAAAGATGGTGCCCATGTCTACTTTTTATATTAGCCAGTGATACGGTTGTAGCACCTTTAATTTACCACTGAAAGACATTAAAAGCTAAGTCAGTGTTCCTGGTACTGTGAAAGCAACTGTATTAGTCCGTTCTTGTACTGCTATAAAGAAATACCTGAGACTGGGTAATTCATAAAGAAAAGAGGTTTAACTGGCTTAAGGTTCCACAGCCTGTACAAGAAGCATGGCTGGGGAGACCTCCTCAGGAAACTTACAATCATGGTAGAAGACAAAGAGGAAGCAGTCACGTCTCACGTGGCAGGAACAAGAGGAAGAGAGAGGTGGGGAGGTGCTTACATACTTTTAAAAAACCAAATCTAGCGATAACTCACTCACTGTTAGGAGAACAGCACCAAGGGGGAAACCTGCCCCCATTGATCCAATCACCTCTCACCAGGCCCCCACCTGGGGATTACAATTTGACATGAGATTTGGACAGGGACACAGACCCAAACCATATCAGCAACATTCTTGAACTTTCTTAAAATTTCTTGTTCGCTATTTCCAAGTAGGAATAAATGAGAAAGAAATTCTTGGAGAAAAATATTCTCTTAATTAAGAATGCAGATGTGATGTATTAGTGAGAAAAATATATAAAAAATATATAAAAATGTATAAAAATATATAGAAAGTTATTAGTTATTTTGCTTTGGAATTTCTTTTTTAAAGAGGCAGGGTCTTACTCTTTTGCCTAGGCTGGAACGCAGAGGTGTGATCTTGACTCATTGTAACAACCTCCCAGGCACAAGCTATCCTCCTGCCTTAGCCTCCCAAATGGCTAGGACTACAGGCATGCACCACCATACCTGGCTAATTAAGAAATTTTTTTTGTAGAGACAAGTCTTGCTATGTTGCTCAAGCTGTTTTGAATTCCTGACCTCAAGCTATCCTCCTGCCTCTCTTTCTCAAAGTACTGGAATTACAGGTGTGAGCCACTACACCCAGTCTGGAGAATTTTTTGAATACATTTAAAATCTTCTGAGACAGGCGCTTTATATATCCATCTTGAGTCTTTTACCTGAAAGAAAAGCATTTAATCATATACACATGACTTATACTTGCACTTCTCTGAGAAAATGTTTAGCTTCTGTGGATGTATAAATTCTAGTGTGTTTTGAGAATACTTGATTTTTGTTTTTCTATTATACATTTGGGTTTATTATATACAATTTAAATTTTGATCAGTTCTGTGATTGCAGTGTACATGATGCGTGTTTGTATTTAGATGATATTGAGGTTTATAGATTATTTACAAAAACTGTATACCACTTTAAGTTTCTATGATTTATTTCTTATATATTTCTTATTTCCCTGCTTACTTTAAACTGTCAATATCTTGCTTTTGTCAGTATCTGTAAAGTACCCTTCTGATCTCTTCTAATTTATTGATTCTGATCAGTTAGGGCTTTAGAATCCACTTAATAACACAGGCTTATGGACATTAATTTATCCGTCCATCCATCTGTCAAATATTGATTAATGTTTATTAATATATGCTAGGCTCTGGGTAAACATTAGTGAATGAGCCCTGTATTGTCCCTGCTTTCATGAAGCTTAGAGTCTAGTTGATTTTTTTTTAAGTTTAAAAAGTAAAAATAATTTTCACCAACCTGATAATTAAAAAGTAAAAATATATGAAATATTCTTTATCTAAAACTGTTAAATTACCTGGATTAAACTTTTCCATCAGTAATATGAATTCAGTTTAAGTAAGATTTGCCATCTGAATCATTTTTATGAAGCTTTTCTAAAATGTCTTATTATTTAAAACTTATTGATTACAGGAAGGCAAACAAATGAAGAGACACTTCACATTATATTAACATTAATGTTAACATCTTTTTTTTTTTTGAAACGGAATCTCACACTGTTGCCCAGGCTGGAGTACAGTGGTGTGATCTCGGCTCACTGCAGCCTTTGCCTCCCAGGTTCAAGCAATTCTCCTGCCTCAGCCTCCTGAATAGCTGGGATTACAGGCACATGCCACCACGCCTGGCTAATTTTTGTATTTTTAGTAGAGACAGGGTTTTGTCATGTTGGCCAGGCTGGTCTCAAGCTCCTGATGTCAGGTGATCCGCCCACCTCAGCCTCCCAAAGTGCTGGGATTACAGGCATGAGCCACTGTGCCTGGCCATTAACATCTAATTATGCATTGAGTTTGTGCCAGAACCGGGACTTTAATTTGTGCCTACTGATTTCTCCCAGTCCAGTGCTCTTTGCATTGTGTTATGTGACTTTTTAGGACAATGTTGTCATGTAAACTAAAAAAAAAAAACTGAGGTAAATAGCGTATTGTAACTACAAAGGAGACTGTCGTAGGTACTGGGAGTCTCAGTGTTCAGAATACTTCTATTTTATACTTCATGCTGATTTTCGCCTTTTAAGGGTGGCAGCTAGGCACAGCTGGGAGGCCTAACCTTTTGCATATTGTATCTTCTAGTTTGTACCTGTTCAAGCTAGGCCTGGCCCCTCAGATTCAAGACCTATATGGAAAGGTTGACTTCACAGGTAAGGAGTTAGATACTTGGCAGGAAATGCTTGAATTATGTGGAAATAGCCTGGAGAGCCAGCAGTACCAATTTTGAAGACCTAGGGCTTTAAAAATACACTGGCAGTGGAGGTGAAAAAAATACGAATAACTTGCTTCTCTAATGTGGGGTAAAGAACACTAAACTTGAAATTTCAAGCTCTGTTCTCTCACTTAATAATGTGAACATGATTAGTGAGTCTCAGTTTTCTTATATGTAAATTGGGGATAACATTAACATATATAAAACATAATAATGTTAACACATAACACTAAATGTTCGGGTATGTTGAAAAAAGCTTTATAACTATCTTTCCCTTTCCATTCCAGCAAGCATCTGTTGTGGGCAAAGCAAGAGGGAGAGTGGGGAGTGAGATGACACAAAGATGCCAATTTAGTAATTTTAAAATTTAAGCTTATTTGGGTGGGTGTTTCTATGTGTATTTGCTATAGCCAGATGCTTGAAGAGATGAGGGGTTGGGGAGAAAAAGGGCAGTGGTAATACTGTTTAAGGGTAAGATAGATTCAAGTCTTTCAAAGTGGTGATTATTTTGTAGGCTTGAAAGTTTAAAAATTGGTAAGAAAGTTTTTGTCCATGATATTTTTTCCTTCCAGGGAAGTTATTCACCAGACCTGGGGAAAGGACCAGACCTTACATGTTTTCTTTATCATTTGGCTTTCTGCCTTAGAAATGAAATTGTTGAATAGCAGCTAATGATTGTAAAGACTGAGATAACTGACTTAGTTTGTGATTCACTTATTGTTGAGCTCACGTTAAAGCTGTTCCATTTATAAGTTCATTGTAGGAAATGCCATAAGTAGCAATTTTGAAAAACTATTTCCTGTAGGACCTTCTCACTTTATAGTTATTTTTGATGCCCTTGATAATAATAACGTTTGACTACATTTTATATACTAGTTACTGTGTTAAGTGCTTTCCATACATTGTATCTTTATATCCTTATAAAACCCTAAAAGGTAAATGCCATTTTATCCCATTGCATAGTTGAGGAATATGTTTCCTTCTCTTGGTTATGGAAGGGTGCTTAGCTTGATTGACTGATTATTAATTCCCTCCTGTAGAAGAAGAAATCAACAACATGAAGACTGAGTTGGAGAAGTATGGCATCCAGATGCCTGCCTTTAGCAAGATTGGGGGCATCTTGGCTAATGAACTGTCAGTGGATGAAGCCGCATGTAAGAAGAGAGAAATTTTGTGGGTTCAACTGGGATTGTTGCCACTATTTCCAATAATTAATTCTATAGTGATGATCTAGGACATTATGAATCTTGCCAGCAAGTTTAAGTCCACAGATGTAGTTGTAAACACATAGTCTTCCATGCTGTTATTATTTGGAAATACATGATTAATTCTGATTAAAGTGAAAGCATTTAGAAAGGAAGTCCTGGCTGGGCGTGGTGGCTCACGCCTGTAATCCCAGCACTTCGGGAGGCCAAGGCGGGTGGATCACCTGAGGTCAGGAGTTCAAGACCAGCCTGGCCATGGTGAAACCCCGTCTCTACTAAAAATACAAAAATTTAGCCGGGCATGGTGGTGTGCACCTGTAATCCCAGCTACTCGGGAGGCTGAGGCAGGAGAATCACTTGAACCCAAGAGGCAGAGGTTGCAGTGAGCCGAGATCATGCCATTGCACTCCAGACTGGGCAACAAGAGTGAAACTCTGTCTCAAAAAAAAAAAGAAAAAAAAAGAAAGGAAGTCCTACATTTCCGTGGCTCATTGAGTTTCTTATTGTTTTATGGTGTTTACTTGGTAATTAAGGCAGATATCTCCAGAGCAAGTGTTCCTTGCAAGGCTCTCTTATGAGTGTTTCTCTGTGAGATTCTAAATTCACCATCCCAGACATGGATCACAGATGGAGCTGTGGCTTTGCATACTGTAAGGAAGAGGCTAGGCTCATAGCCTGGCCCAGGGAGCCAGTCTTCGAACCCCAGTTGTTATTTCTCTGTGAAAAGGAGCCTCTGTCTCTAATGGGGGGTGCAATGTTGCTTTCTGTTGTGATATACATCCTGTAATCTATATAATCTCAGTGTTTTTGTTGGTTTGTTTTTTTGTTTTTTTTTTTAGTACATGCTGCTGTTATTGCTATTAATGAAGCTATTGACCGTAGAATTCCAGCCGACACATTTGCAGCTTTGAAAAATCCGAATGCCATGCTTGTAAATCTTGAAGAGCCCTTGGCATCCACTTACCAGGATATACTTTACCAGGCTAAGCAGGACAAAATGACAAATGCTAAAAACAGGGTAAAAATGCAACATCTATTCTTTCTAATTAATTTATATTATTCCGTCATTTGATATGGCTCCAGTTTAAACATCAGTTTTATTGAGATGCAGTTTACATACAACAAAATTCACCGGATTTTAAATGTACAGTTTGAGTTTTGAAAAGTATATGTGATCATTTAACCATCACTCCCAGAAAGTTCCTTAGTGCACTTTTGCAATTAGTTTCCACCTTACCCACACCCCTGAGCCCAGGCAACTACCAGTCTATTTTCTATTGCTGCCATTGACCTTTTTAAGAATTTTATACAAATGGAATGATGCAGTATCTAATCTTTTGGTGTGAGGCTCCATTTTGACCTCTGCTTCTTGAATTTTATATAAATAAAATTCTAGAGCGTAGCCATTAAAATTAATAGTGCCCTTTGGAAAGATTATCTCTAAATATTAACATAGTCTTTCCTCTTTCCCAGATTCTCTGGGGTAAAATGTTTGTGTACAGTTGTTATGGGTATGTGGAAGTTAGTTAAATGATTCTGACTTGAAAAAACTGAATCTGAGGATCTCATTTCCCGAGGTCAGGAGTTTGAGACCAGCCTGGCCAACATGGCGAAATCCCATCTATACTAAAAGTCAAAAATTAGCCCAGCGTTGTGTTGGGCTCCTGTAATCCCAGGTACTTGGGAGGCTGAGGCAGCAGAATCTATTGAACCTGGGAGGTGGAGGCTGCAGTGAGCCAAGACTGCACCAGCCAGGAGACAGGGCGAGACTCCGTCTCGGGGGGGAAAAAAAAAACTTCACACAAATTTATCCACCCCTTGTTAAAATTAGTGGTTGATGACAAAACGAAGACAATCCTGCTCTCAGAACATTCTTTGTATCTCTTATCATAGAGCAGGGATTTCAGTTTCCCAGTTAGGTGCCAAACTGGCCTGCAGGCAAGTAGCTGCTGCCCTGCCTCTGCCTATGTCACCAGTGAGACTCCAGGATTGTGGATCTGTATGTGCCCATTCTGCTCAGATCTGAGGCAAGGATGTGCTGCCCCTAATCCCAGCACTTTGGGAGGCCAAGGCGGGCAGATCACTTGAGGTTAGGAGTTTGAGACCAGCCTGGCCAATATGGTGAAACCCTATCTCTACTAAAAATACCAAAAAAATTAACTGGGCATGATGGTGCACGCCTGTAGTCCCAGCTACTCAGGAGGCTGAAGCAAGAGAATCACGTGAACCCAGGAGGCAGAGTTTTTAATGAGCCAAGATGGTGCCATTGCACTGCAGCCTGGGTGACAGAGTGAGACTCTGTCTCAAAAAAAAGACAGAATCTCGCTCAGTCACCTAGGCTGGAGTGCAGTGGCACGGTCATAACTCACTGCAGCCTTGAACTTCTGGGGAAAGCAATCTTACTGTCACAGCCTCCTGAGTAGCTGGGACTACAGGCATGTGCCACCACATTGGGCTAATAAAAAAAAGTTTTTTGTAGAGATGGGGTCTCGCTATGTTGCCCAGGCTGATCTCAAACTCTTGGCTTCAAGCCATCTTCCCACCTTGGCCTTCCAAAGCACTGGGATTACAGGCATGAGTTACTGTGCCTGCTTTGTTCTTTATAAAGGGTCTTAAGCTACACCCATATTCTTGGTAGTGTTATGGTGCAGGAGGAGCACACGTGTATTTATGTGGTCTTCTTAGACACCTTAAGCTAACTTAATTACGCTTTTTACTCATCCTCAGACAGAAAACTCAGAGAGAGAAAGAGATGTTTATGAGGAGCTGCTCACGCAAGCTGAAATTCAAGGCAATATAAACAAAGTCAATAGTAAGTATGTTCCTGAATCAGGCACCTAAAGGGATATTATAATATAATGTGAATGTTGATCTATTCTGGGACTTACAACATAGTTTGATTTACTTACTTTAGACATTCGTGGATTTGTTTAGCAATAATTGCTTGTTAACAATCTTTTGTGTTTCTATGCCTCCGTTTTAATTATTTATCTTCAGTCAGCCGCTTGTTCCTACACTGACAGTAGCATCATAGTAGTCTGTTTGGCTACAGTTTCACTCTTTCACCCTATTACATGCTTTTAAATATTATTTTCCTGGCCAGGCACAGTGGCTGATTAATCCCAGCACTTACATATCTGTAATCCCAGGACTTTGGGAGGCTAAGGCGGGTGGATCACCTGAGGTCAGAAGTTCGAGACCAGCCTAGCCAATATGGTAAAACCCCATCTCTACTAAAAATACAAAAATTAGCCGGGCATGGTGGCGTGCTCTTGTAGTCCCAGCTACTTGGGAGGCTGAGGCAGGAGAATTGCTTGAACCTGGGAGGCATAGGTTGCAGTGAGCTGAGATGGTGCCACTGTACTCCAGACTGGGCAACAGTGAGACTCTGTCTCAAAAAAAAAAAAATATTTTTCTATTTTTTTAAAGTAACATTATATTTTTGTTTTTCCTTTAAAGAATAATGCAAGCTGTCTAGAAATAAAAAATAAACCACAAAAATTAGACTCCTTCACTTAGAAATAATCATCACTTAGGAATAATCATTACTGGCATTTTTTTGTATGTCCTTCAAAACTGTGTGTGTGTGTGTGTGTGTGTGTGTGTGTGTGTGTATATATATATTTTTTTTTTTCTTTAAGAGACAGAGTTACACTTTGTTGTTTAGGCTGCAGTTGCGATTATGGTTTACTGCAGCCTCAAACTCTTGGGCTCAAACCATCCTTCTGTTTCAAATTCTCTAGTAGCTAGGACTACAGTCATGCGCTGCCACACCCAGCTGATTTTTAAAATTTTTTTGAAGAGACAGGGTCTCGCTCTGTTGCCCAGGTTGGTGTCAAACTCCTGATCTCAAGTGATCCTGCCACCTTGGCCTCCCAAATTGCTGGGATTACAGGCATGAGCCACCTTGCCCAGCCTCCAAAACATATTTAAACAAAAATGAGATTATACTTTTAATATTGACTTTTATATATGTGTTACTTTTGGGAAATTAATTTATTGAAATTATCATTTTGTCACTACTCTGCTAAAGAACTCACCATGACTACTTCATACTTGCCAGACAAAATGCAGATCCCTAGCCTAGTGCAGTTCTTTATGCAATATTTCATGCATACAGCTCTTTGTAGAAGCTCATTTGCCTAATTACCTCCCATACTCATTCTGTACATTTTATGACTTAAAAGGAATCTGGGCCAGGCAATTCCAGCATTTTGGAAGGCCAGGGCAGGTGGATTGCCTGAGCTTAGGTTTGAGACCAGCCTGGGCAATGTGGCGAAACCCTGTCTCTACAAAAAATACAAAAACTAGCTGGACGTGGTGACATGCGCCTGTAGTCCCAGCTACTTGGGGGCTGAAGCAGGAGGATTGCTTGAGCCCAGGAGGTTGAGGCTACAGTGAGCTGTGTTCGCACCACTGCACTGTAGCCTGGGCAACAGAGTGAGACCCTGCCTCAAAAAATTAATTAATTAATTTTTTTTTTTTAAAAAAGAATCTGGCTCTGAAGTGGTACTGACCTGGTATTTGATCTCTTGTTCCTCTGTTAAAAGCTGTGTAACATTGGGCACCTGCAGTAGCGTTGTTAGACATATAATACGAGATAGTGTATGTAAATTGCCTGCTATTTAGTAAGTACTCAATGAACATTAATATTATCGCTATGTCATGTAATCTCCCTACTGTAATGCCTTCATGCCTCATCTCTTCCTAATCCAAATTGTACCCATCATTCAAGATCCAGTTCAATTTTCACTTCAGTGCCTGTCACAGTTCAATATGGTTGACTTTCAAATCTCCTGTGTCGTACACAGGCTCATCCCTATAAATTTGCACTTAATTATATATTGTCTTGTATTGCTTGATCTTTATTTCTGACATCTTTGTAAACTCCTTAAAGTAGAGATTACGTATTCTGCTTCTTTTGAAGTCCTCCTAATTCCTAGCATAGGTTTAGACTCACCAAAAAAACTAAAAGGTTTGATTTCAACCAACTAGGTCAGGCTTAATCTTGTTTTGCTCAAGATACTCATAACAATAATAATAGTAATTGTTCTCATTGTTCATTTGGAGGGCCAAATTTCTCATTTGAACTAATACTAATAACTAGAGAGGATTTAGAAGATTTTACCAATTGCATAGGATTGGAGTTTTAAGTCCTGACCAGCATTCTTTTTTTTTGGGTTTTTTTTTTTTTTGGAGACAGAGCCCAGGCTGGAGTGCAGTGGCACGATCTCGGCTCACTGCAACCTCTGCCTCCTGGGTTCAAGAGATTTCTTCTGCCTCAGCCTCCTGAGTGGATGACCAGCATTCTTTGTATTCTGCTACCTTCTGGTTCATTTAGGATAATGACCTTCCTAGCAGAATAATCCATTCAAGTGTGGATGGTATCTTGTGCTGAATCTGTATTAATCCTTAAGTCAGCAAATATAAACTGGAGTGTCCTTATGGTTGGTTCTCTGTGAGAAGAAAGTCCACGATGTTTCCTGTTGCATAGAGTACATAAAATATTTTTTGTTTTACTGAGGGATTTTTCTCTACCTTACTGTTTGGTATTTTATAACCTTTATAGTTTTACCTTGCTAATTGTATAAGAATCAGTTGTGAGCACATGTAAGGAAATAATAATATGTTCTTAAAATGTCCTATTCATATTATTATTATGTAGTCAGAGGAGCAAAATAATAAAAATTCCCTCAAATACCTTTCAGTATAGTGGGGAAGATAGACATACAAATGAGTACTTTTAGGGCAGCTTGATTAGAGCAAGATGCCAAGAGCACATGTGGTGCAGTCATAGAATAAAGAAGGGAATGATGACTTCTGCTTAGAAGTTTGAGCAGGTTTTCAGTGTACATGGATCTTCACAGGGATCCTTAGGATAGATAAGAGGGTGAGGATAAGGCAGAATTCCCTATAAAAGGACAGTCTTTTCCTAATTGTAGAGAAAGTCTTGAGGCAAAGGAAAGTTAGATGCCAGGAGGATATAGGGACTTCGGGTTCCAGGAATTAATGTAATTATAGATAAGATTCTTTGCCTAGAGCATTCGAAACAGCAATGAGGCCATTGATGCTGCCCCAGGAGAAAGCTGCAGGCCAAGCAGTTAAAAATTAGAAAAAGTTTTTATTTTATTTTTTGTTAAGTAGACTAAGGAAAATTAGAGTTATATAACTAAAGTTCAGTGAGAGAAAGTATTTAAGTAATGTTCCACACTTTATTATGTTTGCAATATAAATGTTTATAGATATTCATTTAATATTTACATATTTAAGTAGTATGTGTACACTTCTAGAAAAAGCAAAATTTACTAGATGCTTTTGTAGATAGATAATCTAAGACTCTATGCTATATACCTAGAGAAAGTCTAGTTTGTTATCTACATTGATTTTATTTTCTGTCCCTAGCTACTATGAAAGCTCCTTGAGGACAGGATATTTGTTTTTTTCACAATTATATTTGCAACATATAGCAGATCCTCAGTAAATATCATTGAAGGAATGGATGATTAGTTGGCTAACAGCCACATATACCTGCAGACATGACTTGAGAAGCCACCACCTTGGTATGGTGCTCAGTTGAATGGCAGGTATGAATATTAGGAAGAAATAAACAGTATCTTAGGAGCCTACAGTGAGACCTCACATCCATACCAATGTTTTAACCTTTTCTTCCGCCCTTTTTTTAAATAGTTCTAGTCTCCTCATTGCCCCTACTTCCCATTTTCTAGTTTGAGACTTTATTTTCCCTTGGGCTGTTTTGATTTTCTTTATAACAGCTTATTAATTTTATTTTGTTTTTTACTAATGAAAACATTTGCAATTGATAAGTACTATTATGCCCCAGATATTTTTATTTTTGGTATTTTATTGATTTCTTTTTGCTACTGTGATAAAATCAGATGTTTATCTGTGAGTGGTGGTAGGGACAGGCATTTTCTCTTCAAAAAATAAGGAAACGGAAAGTAAAAAAGTAATTATGATTCCTTAGTGGCTATCATTTCTGAAATCAGAAATTATCTTATTCTGTCTTTCAGGCTAAGAATACCTTTTTGTTTTGTTTTGTTTTTTTTACAATATATAAAGTGCTTTTATGTATATGATTTTATTTAATCTTAAAAATATTCCTATGACGGAAGGTATCTTCATTATCATTTTCAGATGAAGGAACATCTGGGTTTTCATTGTCATGTATTGTATTATAGAGCTTGTGTGACCTCAGGTTCTATGATTAGAAGAGAGAATGTGGAAAGGGGAAGATGACCCCTTTCACTCTGCACAGGTTGGACCACCCTTGATAGCAGGGCACTGACTGTTGTGGGTGGAGTGTGTTCAGGAAGTATCAGGGTAATGAGAGGATTCAAAATGGTGCTATGTAAGACATGGTTAAAGGAAATAAGGCTGCTAGTAAGGCATTTGCTGTCATAGGGAGGGGCAGTGGAATGTATTCAGTGTGAACTTTAGGGTTGGAGCTTTAAAAATATTTTTGAAACAAAATTGTCCAAAGATGTAGTAAGTGGCCACGGGAGATACTTTCTCCTGTTTGGTAGTCTGTAAGTATAATCTGGACAACTACTTGGCATTTTAAGGGAATTTAAGCGTCATGTTGGTCTGGATTGGTGGCTCCATATTGGTGCTGAGCTGTCTACATTTGGAAGTTTTTAAGTAGGCTGGGAGTGTGGCCCAGGAATCTGTATGAAATCTGATGAATAGCTTGTTGGGAACCCCTGGACTTGATGACTCTAAGGTTCTTTTCCAATCCCAAGATCTTATGCTTCTGAGAATCACAGAGTAAAGGCTCTCTGAGTTATATTTCCTTATCTGGAACTGAGATTGGTTTTGGGGAAGGAAAACTATTCTAGGCTCTTCTGTTAACATAGTCCTTTCACAAGCTTTTGCCTTTTTTCCTCAGCATTTTCTGCATTAGCAAATATCGACCTGGCTTTAGAACAAGGAGATGCACTGGCCTTGTTCAGGGCTCTGCAGTCACCAGCCCTGGGGCTTCGAGGACTGCAGCAACAGAATAGCGACTGGTACTTGAAGCAGCTCCTGAGTGATAAACAGCAGAAGAGACAGGTAAACATAGTCTGGATTGAAGCTGCAAGAGTTTGTATATATCCATTCGAATCCCATGCTGTCATTTAAAGATATATATGCTGCCTTTGTTTTTCCCCCAATACGACTTTTTCCTCTGCATATAAATTAGTTTAAAAAAAAATCCTCAGGTAAAATACACATTGTCTTCAGCTCACTTTTGCTTTTAGAGCTATGAATCCTCTTTTAAGATAAACAGACAATACCCACCCATCCCCAGTCTAATCACTCCTTCACTTCAGCTGTCTCTCTCTCCAACTAAAAGACATTGGGGAAAACCTGAATATTTTTGCATTCTTACGTCAGGAATTTGCACTTTAAAAAAAAACTGCACCTTATTAGTTTGCTCTGGCCAAAGCTGGAAAAGTACTTACTGTGCAGTCAGGGTAGCTTGTGTGGGATTGTATTTCGTGGGTTTTTTTTTTTTAGAACAAACATGAGGGGCTTTCTTTTTTGTCTAAATAAGGGCAAGTATACATTTTACAAATATCCAGCGTACGTTGGTCAAAGTAAGTAGCATTAACGTGCTTAAGATTCTACAAACACTTTTTCCTTAGAACTTTTTGAGGCTTTTCATGTAATATGTTTAAGAATGTACTGGTATCTGTAAAGTCACTCTACCCCAGCTTTGGCAAAGGCATTTGGCTCTACCTGGGGCTGCCACCTTGGCTGCATGTAGCCTGAGCTGTCACTTATGACTATGGCTCTCTCTGTCCCTAGTGACTGCTTTTGAGAGATGAGAACCTTAAGGCCTGGAGTCATAGGAATGAGTAATCTTTACATAATTTTCTTTGCTTTGCTCAGAGTGGTCAGACTGACCCCCTGCAGAAGGAGGAGCTGCAGTCTGGAGTGGATGCTGCAAACAGTGCTGCCCAGCAATATCAGAGAAGTAAGAGTCCATTGAAATTGTATGGGAGGAAAGTTGTGGCTTTGTGTTATTGAAGGGTCTGAGGTTAGCTTCTGTCATCGTCATCACCCACTCTGAGCCTACTAGCCATAACCAACTGCCAGGTACTTTTGGTGGCAGGAGGGTTCCTCCAGTTTGTTGTTGTGGTGGTTTTAATTGCTGTGTAATAGTTGTACATATTTTGAGGGTACATGTGTTTTGTTTTTTAAACCAACCAAGAAGCACTGACACCAACCAAGAAGCACTGACGTATGATATTTTGATACATGCATACAATGTATTATGATCAAATCAGGGTAATTGGAATATTTGTCACCTAACGCATTTATCTTTTGTTGATGTTGGGAACATTCCAGTTCTTCTGTTTTGAACTATACATTATTGTTAACTATCATCATCCTACTGTGCTATCTAACACTAGACCTATTCCTTGTATCTAATGGTAATTTTGTACCCGTTAGCCAACCTCTCTATGTCCTCCTCCCCACTACCCTTCCCAGCTTCTGGGAACCACCAGTCAACTCTACCTCTGTGAGATCCACTTTTTTAGCTCCCATATATGAGTGAGATCAGGAGGTATTTGCCTTTCTGTGTCTGGCTTATTTCACTTAACATAATGACCTTCAGTTTTTATGGCTGAATAATATTCCATTATGTGTATACACTACCTTTTTTTTTTTTTTTTTTTTTTTTTTTTTTTTTACCATTTATTCATTGATGGACGCTTAGGTTGATTTCATATCTTGGCTATTGTGAATACAGCTGCAGTAAACATGGGAGTGCTGATTTCCTTTCTTTTGGCCATATACCTAGCAATGGGATTGCTGAATCATATGTAGTTTTATTTTAATTTTTTGAGGACTCTCCATCCTGTTTTCCGTAGCGGCTATAGTAATTTATATTCCCATCAACAGTGTATGAGCCCTTTCTCTGCAGCCTTCCCAGCATTTGTTATTTTTTGTCTTTGATAAAAGCCATTTTAATTGGGGTGAGAAAGTATCTCATTGTGGTTTTGATGTGTATTTCCCTGATGATTAATGATGTTGAGCATTTTTTCATATACCTGTTGGCCATTTGTGTGTCTTCTTTTGATAAAAATCTATTCAGCTTATTTGCCCATGTAAAAATTGGATTATTTGTGGGGTTTTTTTTTGTTTTTTTTTTTTTGGCTGTTGTTTGAATTTCTTATATATTATGGTTATTGTTCTCTTCTCAGATGGATCGTTTGCAAATGTTTTCTCCTGTTCTATATGTTGTCTCTTCACTTTGTTGTTGGTTTCCTTTGCTGTGCAGAAGCTTTTTAGCTTGACATAGTCCTGTTTGTCTATTTTTGCTTTCGTTGCTTATGCTTTTAAGGTCTTAGCTAAATGGCTTTGCTTAGACCAGTGTCCTGAAGCATTTCCCCAATGTTTTCTTCCAGTCGCTTCATAGTTTCAGGTCTTAGATTTAAGTCTTTAATCTATTTTGATTTATTTTTGTATATTATGAGAGATAGGGATCTAGCTTTATTCTTCTGCATATGGTTATCCAGTTTTCTCAACACCATTTATTGAAGAGACTGTCTGTCTCAGCCCATTTTACGTGGCTATAAAGGGATACTTGAAGTGGGGTAATTTATTAGCTCACAGCTCTGCAGGCTGTGCAAGAAGCAAGGCACCAGCATCTGCTCAGCTTCTGGTGAGGGCTTTTGTGCTGCATCAAAATATGAAGGAGAAGATCAAAGGGCAAGTGGGCTCATGTGAAGAGAGACTGATCCCCGGGGTAGTGAGTAGGGGTCCTGGCTTTATAACAACCCATTCTAATGAGAACTGATCCGTTCTCCCCAAGAACCAATCCAATCTTGCAAGAGCTCACTACCATGAGAATGGCACAAAGCCGTTGATGAGACATTTGCTCCTATGACCCACACAGCTCCTACTAGGCCCTGCCTCCCAACACCACCACACTGGGGATCAAGTTTCTTCTTTTTTTTTTTCATACCCTTAGGGTGATGTCAGGTATCAGATTTCAATGTGAGATTTGGTAGGGACAAATAAACCAATCCAAACCATAGCACTGTCTTTTCCCTGATGTGTGTTCTTGGTGTCTTTGTCAAAAAATGTTCTCCTCATGGCTGTAAATGTGTGGCTTTGTTTCTGAGTTCTCTATGGTGTTCTGTTGGTCTGTGTGCCCTTTTTTTTTTTTTTTGAGACGGAGTCTCACTCTGTTGCCAGGCTGGAGTGCAGTGGCACAATTTCAGCTCACTGCAACCTCTGACTCCCTGGTTCAAGCGATTCTCCTCTCTCAGCCTCCTGAGGAGCTGGGATTACAGGCACGTGCCACCACACCTAGCTCATTTTTGCATTTTTAGTAGAGACGGGGTTTCACCGTGTTGACCAGGATGGTCTCGATCTCCTGACCTCGTGATCCACCTGCCTTGGCCTCCCAAAGTGCTGGGATTACAAGCGTGAGCCACCGTGCCTGGCCAAGTTACTCCAGTTTTAAAGGTAGAACTGGAGTCAATATAGCCTCACTTTGGCTCGCACACACTTCATGATTTGTTAGGGAAATATCTGGAGGAGGTGAGACTTAAGGGATCGCTAAGATTTGGATGGTGAAAGAGGTGAGAAAAGAACGTCCTAGTGCAGGACAATGAGGGAAAAAGGAGGTGGGAGCGGAAGTACAGGTAGTGAAAGATGTCTTTGAGGAATGGTGGTTAGAATACAAATTTTGTAAATGTTTTGGGCTGAGTTGTGTAAGATCAAGGGGTGGAAAGATTGTAGAAAGCTTTGAATGGTAGCTTAAGAAGCCAGGCAGTAGGAGAAGGAAGAGGTGGTTTAGATGGGAAGTAGTGGTAGCATATAGGATGAATTGAACGGGAAGAAAATAGGGATGAGGAGAACAGTTAGGAGGCTGCTTTTTGAAGAAAACATCTTGATTGAGACATGGTTCACATACCGTACAGTTCACCCTTCTTCAGACAAAGGAGGCTGCTTTTTTAAAGACGAAAGTTCCACTTCAAACTTCATGGCTGATAGCCACAGAATGTGATATTTTTCCCATGAAGATTGGCACCTTCTTCCCCTGAGGGCTCTCTAAGCCCACTGCGTTTCTGACTCCTGTTTTTTACACAGGATTGGCAGCAGTAGCACTGATTAATGCTGCAATCCAGAAGGGTGTTGCTGAGAAGACTGTTTTGGAACTGATGAATCCCGAAGCCCAGCTGCCCCAGGTGTATCCATTTGCCGCCGATCTCTATCAGAAGGAGCTGGCTACCCTGCAGCGACAAAGTCCTGAAGTGAGTTCACTAAACCTGTCCTGTTTGTGAGCAAAGTTGGGTGGACGTGAGTGTAATACCCACTTCTTCCTGTGGTTAGGTAGAACTTTTTTGCATAAACTTGGTTTTCTTACAGTTTTATTAAACTTATAACTCCCTGGGTCTTGGAGAATGTCTTTCCTCACTGTTTTCCCTTCTGTCCCTTTCTGTACAGCATAATCTCACCCACCCAGAGCTCTCTGTCGCAGTGGAGATGTTGTCATCGGTGGCCCTGATCAACAGGGCATTGGAATCAGGAGATGTGAATACAGTGTGGAAGCAATTGAGCAGTTCAGTTACTGGTCTTACCAATATTGAGGAAGAAAACTGTCAGAGGTGGGTGTCCAGAGTGAAGGGAATAAATCCATTACGTAGCTGTTAACCCTGTCTTTTGTATGTCAGTGCTCCGATTTTCTTTGCAGGCATTATTACTTTATCATGGTCATACTTTTGTTTGGTTCTACTTTGATTCACTTAATTCTTTGTTATGCTGAAAAATATGACATTCCGTTCCTAAATATATAAGTAGGCTTAAATATGTTACATAGTCAAAATAACACTATCTCTGACAAAGTTAAATAATACTTTTTAAATATCATCTAACCCTAGCTAGTTCATTTTCATTCTTCATTTGTTCCCAAACTGTCCTTTATAGCTGTTTTGTTGAAAACAAGATCTAGCCTAGGAACATGTATTATATCTGGCTGTTGTGTCCCTTGAGTATCTTTTAATCTAGAATTGTCCCTTTCTTCATGAGACTGACTTGTTAAAGGGATGGGACCAATTGCCTATTTTATGGATAGTTCTAGTTGCTTTCTCATATTTGCCTTATTCCTGTAAATTGGAAATTAAATTTCTAGGCTTGTCACGATTCAGTTCAACATTTTTGATGATGTGTATTTCATATTGCCTCATATCAATAGGCATATAAAACCCACTTTTCCCACCATCCCACCATTAGAGATACTAAGATTGATCCCTGGATTAGGGAGACCACTTATACTTCCATTGCGTATTTACGCTTTTCCCTCATCACTAGAACATCATCTCTTTTGCACCGTCAAAATATCTAGTTTTCCATTAAGCATTCACGTGATATTTTTAACCCAATTGATAATCTTTCCTAAATCAGTACCTTCAGTAAAAGTTGCTGAATGATGATTTGTTGCTCTGTCATTCCTCCTGCATTTATTAGCTCATGTGTAGCCTTTTTTTCTTGTCTATGGAGGAATTGCTTGAACTGCTGCCTTTAATTCTAGAGTTAGTCTTAACATGGAATTTAGAATATGTAACAGGATATTGAGAATAAGTGATTTCTGTTGCATTTTTGCACTTTGTTTAAAGTAACTGTGCAGTTCCAAAACTGGTCTTGAGAATATATCAAATGGTTGGGATACCCTAGCAATCTTTGTTCCTTGAATATTTAAACATGCTGTGCTTAATGCTCTTTTTACTTGGGGGTCTGGGGCAGGTATCTCGATGAGTTGATGAAACTGAAGGCTCAGGCACATGCAGAGAATAATGAATTCATTACATGGAATGATATCCAAGCTTGCGTGGACCATGTGAACCTGGTGGTGCAAGAGGAACATGAGAGTGAGTTATCTTCCTGTCCTCCCCAAATAATGTCACCATTAATGATGATGTGATTCCATGAAGTGGTTCAAAATACTACTCCTAGAAGGATTTTTGGGTGAGAGATTGAAAATATCTATATAACACAAAAGGCTAAAGTTGGATATTGTTTTGAGAACACCAGGCAATTGCTATAATTAGGTATATGTCCAGTAAGAACTAAATTTTGGGGGAGGTGAATTGAACATGATCTGTTATTTTTAAATGCTGTTATAACAAGTAGTCCTGACACTACATGGAATTAGGTTGAATTGCACAGGTTGTAGGCATGGTCCTCCACAAGACTCCTCTCACTTCAGACACAAGCTGAAAGCTGCAGGGTTCCCAGGCCACTGTACTTCTGAACAACTGGCTGCAAATTTGGAGGATCCCTTCTACCCGCTCAGGTTTAATAATTTGCTAGAATGACTCACAGAACTCAAGAAAATGCTAGACTTACGATTAAAATTTTATTACAAAATATGTAAATCAGGATCAGCTGAAAGAAGAGAATCATCAGGCAATATCTGTGAGAGTCCCCAATATGAAGCTTCTGTGTTCTCAGGATGTGTCACTCTCCTGGCACATTGACGTGTATCACCAACCAGGGAAACACACCTGAGTTTTGGGTGTCCAGAGTTTTTATTTGGGTTCGTTACATATGCGTGATTGATAGTATTGGCTTTGCGATTAAACTCAATTTTCATTTGGCCTCTGCTCCCTGGAGAATGGGAGGCCAGGCTGGTATCACGTGACTCTATACCTCAGTGGTTGATCTTTCCAGCATGGCCAGCCTCCATCCTTAAACTCTCATGAGGCCAACCAGGAGTCATTGGTTGGCATAAATTCAGGTGTGGGCGGAGGGGCCCACCATGAATCACAGAAACATACCTATCACTCAGGATATCCCAAGGGTCTTAGACGCTCCCCCAGAGACAAAGACCAGCCAGACTTTTTATTATACAGCAGAGTCCTTACAAAAGCAGTACGGCTGCCTAAGATACCTGGGGAGTGAACGTTCCTAATTTTAATTTGTATTTCCTGGGAGAAATATTCAACTGACTTGGTGGGAAGAGCCTTGCTTCGCATTAGGGAGCCCTGCGCTTGGATCTTTCTTCTGCCATTTGTTTGCTGTGTAATCTTGGAGAAGAGATTGCTAAGCCTTGTTATTTCTTCTATAAAAGTGTTGAATTAGATGACTTTTTAAGAACCCTTGAACCTTTTTAAGACTCTTCGTGAATCCTTTGTGACTCAAGAATGTTTTTGATTACACATTCCAGTGTACCTGAAAGCTATACAGTAAGGCCAGTTTCATAAAAATCCTCATCGCTTTTAAGTTAGAGCAATTAAAAATGAAACAAAAGGACTTGAGCATTCAATAGGAATATGAATACAAGTGAGTTTAGTTGAAATAAATACTAATTAAAAAATGAAAACAGTGCTGCTTAACGGATGGTAAGTTGCAGTTTGAATCATGGTTACTCTTAGGTGGATTTATGATTAGTTAGCATGTTCCATGATTGATTTGTTTATGTACTTCCTTAATTAGAAAAAAAAAACTTTCTGTCTCTTTATATTTAGGGATTTTAGCCATTGGTTTAATTAATGAAGCCCTGGATGAAGGTGATGCCCAAAAGACTCTGCAGGCCCTACAGATTCCTGCAGCTAAACTTGAGGGAGTCCTTGCAGAAGTGGCCCAGCATTACCAAGACACGCTGATTAGAGCGAAGAGAGAGAAAGCCCAGGTGAGTGGCATCGGAATTGTTCTTTATGTTCAGAGCACCTCAGCCCTCCTAGAACAAAGGTAGAGGTAGGAATATCTTCCTTGATTCATTCAGTGAATGCCTTCTGGGCACCCTTAGATTCAAAGCACTGGAGGGACACAAAAATGTGAGAGACATAGGCTCCACCTACTAGGAGCTCATGCTGTTTTACACATTTGGGTTTTTGTTCTTTTGTTTGTTGTTGACAGTCTTTTGTGTCTCTTTCAGTAAATTCTTTACTGAAATATAAGATCCAGGGCTGGGCGCAGTGGCTCACGCCTTGTAATCCCACAGCACTTTGAGAGGCCAAGGCAGGCAGATCCCTTGAGGCCAGGAGTTCAAGACCAGCCTGGCCAACATGGTGAAACCTCATCTCTACTAAAAAAAAAAAAAAAAATACAAAAATTAGCTGGGCGTGGTGGTGCATGCCTGTAATCCCAGCTACTTGGTAGGCTGAGGCACAGGAATTACTTGAGCCTGAGAGGTGGAGGTTGCAGTGAGCCGAGATTGCGCCACTGCACTCCAGTCTGGGGGACAGAGTAAGACTCCGTCTCAAAAAAATATATATATATATATATGTGTGTGTGTGTGTATATATATATATACGTATATATATAATATACGTATATATACATATATACGATCCAGAAAAAAAAATATATATATATGATCCAGAAAAATGAACAAGGTAGATGGGTATGCAATTGCATAAATTTTCAAAAGGAGGCACACCTGTGTATTTGGCAGTCAGATTGTAGAACCCATTACCAGCACCACAGAGACCTTCCTCATATCCCCTTCCACCCTTAGCCACCCTCCATTTGGTGGTAAGCACTATTCTGATTTCTATTAATAACACCACAGTTCATTTCCGTCCACTTTTGAGCTGTATTTAAGTGGGATCATACCTTATGTGCTCTTTTGTGTCTGGCTTCTGTTGCCCTAAATAATGTTAATGATATGCATCCATGTGGTTGCATGGAGCCATCCTTTGCTCATTCTCATTGTTGTGTACTATTTCATTGTGTGGTTATATGTTATTGGTGAAGTTTTTTGTTGTTTTGTTTGTTTTTTCAGACTGTTGTAAATAGGGCTTCTTTGTTTTTTTTTTGAGACGGAGTCTTGCTCTGTCACCCAGGCTAGAGTGCAATGACGCAATCTCAGCTCACTGCAACTTCTGCCTCCCAGGTTCAAGCAATTCTCCTGCCTCTGCCTCCCCAGTACCTAGGATTACAGGCGAGAGCCACCATGCCTGGCTAAAATTTTTTTTTTTTTTTTTTGTATTTTTTGTAGAGATGGGGTTTCACCATGTTGGCCAGTTTGGTCTCGAACTCCTGACCTCAAGTGATCTGCCCGCCTCAGCCTCCCAAAGTGTTGGGAATTACAGGCATGAGCCACTGCCCATGGCCTGTAAATAGTGCTTCTATGAATTTTTAATTTTGGTTAAAAACATATATGTGCATTTCTGTTAGGTATACATTTTGGAGAGGAGTTATGGCCATAGGGAACACATATATGAAGCTTTAATAGATAATGTCATGAAGGTTTTTTGTGACAACTTAATTGAAACGTAATTCACGTATCAGGTAATTCAGCGTCAGTGGACTTTAGTACGTTGATAGAATTGTGCAGTCATCACCACAGTCAATTTTTGAACATTTCATCACCCCAAGAGAAACTCAGTACCCATTAGTAGTCACTCATTTTCCCTTAATCTCCCCCAGCCCTGGGCAACCATCAGACTGCTGGTTTGTCTATGGGTTTGTCTATTCTGAACATTTCATATAAATGGAGTTATGCAATGTATGGTCGTTTGTGACTGGCTTCTTTTAGCTTAGTTTATCCAAGCTGTAGCAGTAGCACTTCATTTCTTTTTGTTGCTGAATAATATTCCATTGTATGACTGTACCACATTTTATTTATTTATTCATGAGTTGATGACACATGGATTATTTCCACTTTACCACATTTTATTTATCCATTCATGAGTTGATGACATATGAATTATTTGCACTTTATTCGTGATTTGATAGACACTTAGCATGAGTGACAGCTATATAAGTTGTATCTTCAATCTACTTCCCTTTTTAGATATGGAAGCCGACCTAGCTTATTCTCCGAAACCCCACTCCTCTGACAGTCAGATATAAGGCTCCCTTTGGACTTTCTTAGCAGCAAAAACAAACATTACTACCACTAGCATACATAGAATCATTGCAGCCTGACACATTAGAGATTCTGAATCAGTAGAATTAGACTTTAAGCTTAGGAATCTGTATTTTAAAAATGACTTTTTCATTGTTCTGATGACCAGCCAAGTTTGGGAAACACTAATCTAATAAAATGAATCAAAGACAGAGACTTCCATTTCTAGCTTCCCTAGAGCCAACTACTTCTTATCCGAGTAAGTAAAATCAGTTGATCTCAATTTCCTGGCTATGAAATAGCAGTTGTGATTCAACCCTCTCCACAGCATCAAGTGACATTCTGCATAATTATATCTCTTAAATGAAACCTGGTAGTATCTATCAGATACTACACTTACATGATTAGGACATGGTAATGTCAACTACTGCCATGCCAATGTAATCAAAGGAGATCAGTCAACATCATAATATTACCAACATATAAAATTGCCCACTCCTCTACCCTTCACCAAAACTTACAGAGCCCACACGAGTGTCAGTGTGCAAAAAGCTCCAATACACTAAAGCCTTGGTCTGTTTTTATACGTCTGGCTACTCAGAATTAAAAATTTCTTTTAGCCCTTCCGCTTGCTGCCTCACTTCAGGAGTCTTCTGAAGGCTATGGTTCTATCCAGTTGTTGTTACTTAGTAAGCACTGAAAAGGAGGTCAATCACAATTAGAAAACAGATGTTAATTATGCTTTAATCAACAATTATTTGAGGGCCTACTACATACAAGGCAACTTCCTAGACAGCAACAGCATAAAAAGAGGCATAAACCTTGTCAATTTCCTCAGCAAACTAGGTAGCGGGTAAGACAAACATTTTAAAAGATGAGTTTATGTTACAATTACTTTAACAACTTTATCTTCATAGTAGCATTATTCCTGATAGCCACAGTGGAAAAAAACAGTATGTCTATCAAGTCAGGAATAGATAAAGTGTAAATAATTCAAAAGGCTGTGTGTGCGTTTTGTTTGGGTCATCGGAGTAAAACTTTTTGAGGATGTGACTATAGAGTTTGAAGCATTTCCTTTGCTGTGGAATAACTTTTCAGACTTCATCAAAGGCGGAGGAAGTCGGGGGAGTTAAAGGAAAAATTGCTTAACATTGCCAGGCCCAGCTGGGTGAACTACACATTGGGTGGAATTGTTTTTTGTTTGTTTGTTTTTGGTTTGGGTTTTTTGTTTTGTTTTGTTTTGTTTTTTGTTTTTGGCATCACCTGAGCATCTAAGTCTCCATCAGCCATTTGGGAGTGTTTTTAAAAATATTTATCACTGAGTTACAAATTTAGAGAGCAAAAGATCTTAATTTAAATTTGGTCTGTAGTTTTATTTTCTTCTGATATCTTTGTGTTTGGTTTTGGTATCAGGGTAATACTGGCCTCATGACTTGAAGTGTTCCTTTTATATTTTCAAAGAGTTTGTAAAGGATTAGCTAGTTCTTTAAACATTTGTTACAAGTCACCAGTGAGGCCACGTGGTCCGGAGTTTTTTGTGTGGGGGATATTTTTTGTTTTGTTTTGAGCTGCAGTACTGTGTAGGAAAGGGGTCCCGATGCAGACCCCAAGAGATGGTTCTTGGATCTCACACAAGAAAGAATTCAGAGAGAGTCCATAGAGTGAAGTGGAAGCAAGTTTATTAAGAAAGTAAAGGAATAAAAGAATGGCTTCTCCATAGACAGAGCAGCCCTGAGGGCCGCTGGTTGCCCATTTTATATTTCATGATGATATGCTAAACAAGAGCTTTATCAGATCTTTTCTGAGCATGTGCACAGCCCACACATGCACTGTGGCCTCCTAGATCCCATCCAGGAATATGTCAAGTTGTCAGAGCTCTCCATGAACATCTCATTCTCCAGCTTTTCCTTATAAGGTTTTTAGTTAGTCTCTTGTTTGCCTAAACTGTTATCCTTAATGTTTTTGACAATTGCTTTTGGAGAAAAGGCTGTTTGCAGTGGATGAGCTCTTGGTCAGGTCAAATAAAGACAGCCATGCGAGTGTGACCTCTGAACAGGTCAGCTAATGACAGTTCTTTGGGAATGGGGCTTTGAAGGGATGGTAGGAGGGGCAGATTGGAATAGGGGAGTTTAAAGCACCACAGAACTCACTGTTCTTACTGAGTTTCAGCTGTTTTTCTTGAATGCATTCTCCAATTTCTGCAAGCCTTTGGTTAATTTCTACCGTATTGAAAAAACTGGCCGGGTGCAGTGGCTCATGCTTGTAATCCCAGCACGTTGGGATGCCAAGGCGGGTGGATAGTTTGAGCCCAGGAATTTGAGACCAGGCTGGGCAAGATGGTAAAACCCTGTCTTAACGAAAAATAAAAATATTAGCTGGACACGGTGGTGTGCACCTGTGGTCCCAGGCACTTGGGAGGTTGAGATGGAAGGATCACTTGGGCCTAGGGGGCTGAGGTTGCGGTGAGCCAAGATTGCACCACTGCACTCCAGCCTGAGTGACAAAGCAAGACCCTGTCTTTAAAAAAAAAAAAAAAAAAAAAAAAGGGCTGGGCGCAGTGCCTCATCCCTGTAATCCCAGCACTTTGGGAGTCCCAGGTGGGCAGATCACCTGTGGTCAGGAGTTCGAGACCAGCCTGGCCAACATGGTGAAACTCCATCTCTACTAAAAATACAAAAAATTAGCCAGGCGTGGTGGCAGGCACCTGTAATCGCAGCTACCCAGGAGGCTGAGGCAGGAGAATCACTTGAACCCAGGAGGTGGAGGTTGCAATGAGCACCACTGCACTCCAGCTTGGGTGACAAGAGTGAAACTCCGTCTCAAAAAAAGAAAAACTGATGCTGGTGATTGTTTGCCAGTGTACCAATGTTTTTTGTTTGTTTGTTTTTCATGGTGGAGAGGATTTTCAGAGGTCTTTACCATTTTCACTAATGTCACGTTTCTCTTCATTAAATTTAGTGTTTGTGGGACTCTTGATAAAAGTGGATTACTAGTCGTGAGTAGTACAGTCTGAATGCAAGACATGGATATCAGGGCTCCTCAAGAACTCATTTTATAATTAAGAATATGAATGACTTAGGCCGTGTGTGGTGGCTTACGCCTATAATCCCGGCACTTTGGGAGGTCAAGGCAGGCGGATCACTTGAGGTCAGGAGTTTGAGACCAGCCTGGCTGACATGGCGAAACTCCATCTCTACTAAAAATACAGGTGTGGTGTACACCCCTGTAGTCCCAGCTACTCAGGAGGCTGAGGCAGGAGGATTGCTTGAACCCGGGAGTAGGAGGTTGCAGTAAGCTGAGATCATACCACTGCACTCCAGCCTGGGTGACAGCGAAGCTGCATCTCAAAAAGGAAGAAAGAATAAGAATGACTTAAATCGGCTGGGTGCGGTGGCTTACACCTGTAATCTTTGTACTTTGGGAGGCTGAGGCAGGTGGATCACGAGGTCAGGAGATCAAGACCATCTTGGCTAACACAGTGAAACCCCATCTCTACTAAAAACACAAAAAAAAAAAAAAAAGAAAAAAAAAAAATTAGCCCGGCATGGTGGTAGGCGCCTGCGCCTTTAGTCCCAGCTACTCGGGAGGCTGAGGCAGGAGAATGGCATGAACCCAGGAGGTGGAGCTTGCAGTGAGCCAAGATCGGGCCACTGCACTCCAGTCTGGGCGACAGAGCGAGACTCTGTCTCAAAAAAAAAGAATGACTTAAATCTCTCTCTGACCTCCATGTGTGTATATGCACTTATGCACACATGCTTATATACATGTAGCTAGTAATCAGCTGGTTCACACCAGCACAGCTGTACCAGTTGTTAGGACATTGAAATTCTTTTATTTTGTTTGGTACATTGTTACTGTCCCAACCCTCCCATATCTTTGCCATCACTCCCCAACTCTAATTGAAATCCCACTATATGGCAACTAAACCAGCAGTGACCATAAGGACTCTGCTCCATCCTGATTGGTCAGTGCTTATGTTGTGTAGTTGATAAACGTGTTGTACAGATTTGTGTATGTGTGTTTATGTGTGTATGTGGTATATATGTGGTTATATATTTATATATGTAATATTGGGTCTATCATCACACATGCAAACCAAGCCACATAGTAAGTAAAGTCTTTTTAAAAAGTTTTGAGTGATGAGAAGTGCCCTTTAGAGGGGTGTGTGAGTGTGTGCTTTCCATATATACATGTACATAACATAGTCATTCCTTTGCCTCTTCCCCCTTTTCCTGTGTTTGTGGCTTCTTCACCTCTTCTACCTCCAATCATTGCCCACTCTTTTTTTAAATTCTGACTTCTGGTCCCTATCTCTTTACCTCTTCTGAAATGCAATCAGCGTGTTTCTAAGTGTCAGAGTTGTTAGGGAGCTGTGCTTGAATATATCTTAGATAGCATTTTTACAGCAAATCTGTTTTCTCTCCATAATATCTAGCCTGGGCTTTAACACTCTGCTCAGTCATTTGAGTTAATCTTTAGGTAATCTCTTTAAAACAAATTTTACCAGAAGGATTTGGGTTTTGTCATTTTATTCAGTCTAATTGGAGCAGAAAGAACCTGTTCTTTCTTCTTACACTGGGATGAGGTGTAGTGTATGCTGTCTCTCTTTCCTTCTTCATTCTGGTGAGGGGCTTTTCTGTATTAATGTTTCCCTGAAACACCTGAGACACCCATCCATTCACTTTTTCTTGCCTTTCATACTATTGCTCTATTGCTTATTTCTTAAGGAGTATGTATGAAAGGTTTTACTTTAATCTGCATGGGGCAGGGAAGAAAGAATTCTGAATGCTTAGAAAGGTTCTACCTTTCTCAATGCAAGGGAGGTTGTGCTAAGTCTCACAACTTTGCTTACAGCAGATTCTGCTCAGATATCTGTTGTATGATTATCCCAGAAGTGAACCCAAAATGGCTTGATTCTGTGGAAATGCTTCTGTTTTTATGATACGAGGATTTTTCTGCTGCTTCTCTTGGAGACTAGACCATCAGCCCTCTCGCTTATGACTTCACAATTTAAGTTGTCACAAGCCTGCAGCTGACTCATTGTATTGTCTCACATTGGAACTATTGTCTAGTATTTCCAGTAGTTATTCTTAGGACTCTAGGGGATGGTGTGTGGTCATTTTCTATTTTCAGTAATAGAAAGCGACTAGTGGTAGGAAGGTACTAGGTTCTGCAGCTTTTAAGTGATTTATTTGTTCTTGCATTCTATTTATCTGTTTACTCTTTCCCTTTCCCAAGACTGTGAGCTTCTTAAAATTGGGACAGTGCCTCTTAGAATTGTAAGGCCAGCACCTACCATAATTAGGTTAAATGATCTTTCTAAAAGACTGCATTTAAGAGAAATCACTGCTTTCAATTTCAGATGCTTTCCTTTGGCCTTATCCTGTCACCTGCACTCTTTATAAATTGCAGGGATTGTGGCTGCTTCACTATATGGAGTGAAATGTTGTGTCTTTCTCTAATAAAACAGGAGGAAAGCCAAGCCTTCCCTAAGGTTTTGTGACTTCAACTGTTGGGCAGTGAAACGTTTCACTTTGCCTCAAAGCTCAGACCCTGCCTCATTTAGGCACATAGTTATGGTGATTTACTAAGTTCTTTATTCTGCCTCATTCATGCCTTGGCAAATTATATTCACATCGAGCAATCTAAATGAATTTTTGAGCTGCTATTTATACCAACTGCTGTTAGCTCAAGCCTCAGGAGTATGTTAATTTTGTTGGGTCTGCGTAGATCACCACAAACATGACTCTCACAACCTGGCCACTTTAAAACCTGAAGTGCCTTGTCTTTTCTAGAGAAGATTGCCCCAGTAATCTGCTGAATTGATGCTCTCTGTAAAGACCTTACAGGCATCTTAATAAAGAACCCCCACTCTTTTGAGATCGTTGAAACCTACATAACCTCAGTATGACCATGGAAATCTAATGGGGTATCAGCAGTGGTTTCTGATTCTATCACACTGAGAGTAGGTAGAAGTAGAATCCTATTGTGCTAACTCTCAGTAACAGTAGTGACTACCTGGGGCTAATCCATAAGCTACTTCCCCAAATTGAAATATGGCAGCCACATTCTTGAAAATTGGAAGATAACGGCCAGGCGCAGTGGCTCACACCTGTAATCCCAGCACTATGGGAGGCCAGGACGTGCAGATCACAAGGTCAGGAGATTGAGACCATCCTGGCTAACATGGTGAAACCCCGTCTCTACTAAAAAAATACAAAAAATTAGCTGGGCGTGGTGGCGGGTGCACGTAGTCCCAGCTACTCGGGAGGCTGAGGCAGGAGAATGGCGTGAACCTGGAAGGCAGAGCTTGCAGTGAGCCGAGATCACGCCACTGCACTCCAGTCTGAGTGACAGAGCGAGACTCTGTCTCAAAAAAAAAAAAAATTGGAAGATATTAGAGGAAGGTATTTCTACTAATCTAATTCTGTTTAAAATGCCATTCAGAGCAAATGGTCACCAATAAGCGCCTTTAAAAAAGAAACTTGTCTTAACGAATTTAGGAAGAGGAAAGTAAGTCACCTCCACTACATCATACATCATCTCTATCCACAATAGTCAACTCAGACTATGCTGTGAGGCTTTTGTTAGCTGTACTAAGGAAAGTAATCACAACATTCATTATATTTCTGTGTGAAAATTTGCTTTTAAGTTCCCAGCAACTGATTTAACATTCAAGTTTTAGGATATCAGCTAGTGAGAAATGTAGATTGCCTGTAGTGACTTCTGGCTTTAAATGTGATGAGTCAAAGATTCTGGTTAAAGTAAGACTTGACAGTCTTAAAAACATTAGTAGTCATAGAGAACGTTAACTTCCTCTGAACATTGTTGGCAAAGGAGGCTTTCAAATAAGTACTGCATATTCATATATATACCCTGGCCCTTGTCACCCTGTTAAAGTCTCTGGACCCCTTCCCAGTCTGTCTGGGCCTCTTGCCCCTTCTAGCTGTTCACAACTTCCTGAACCACTTAAATTCATCTTTATATAATCTTCACCTACATGTGAGCCATTTCCCTTATCTTATGACCTTTACCAGTTTGTTTGTTTTTGGAGACCGGTCTATACTCTTGACTGGAGTGCAGTGGTAAGAACATGGCTCACTGCAGCCTAACCTCCTGGGCTCAAGCAATCCTGCCTCAGCCTCCCTAGTAGCTGGGACTATAGGCGTGCACCACCATGCCTGGCCAAGCTATGTTTGTTTGTTTGTTTGTTTGTTTGTTTGTTTGTTTTTAGAGAGACGGGGTCTCACTATGTTGCCCAGGCTGGTCTCGAGCTCCTGGGCTCAAGCATTCCTTCTGCCTCAGCGCCCCCAAAGTGTTGGATTACAGGTGTGAGTCACTGCATCCAACTTTTTACCAGTTTTTTGATGCCTCCTTCTTCCATTTGACTAACCCACGTGTCTCATATTTTTTAAGCCTGTTCTTCCATATTTAATTGAGTCTAGGAAGCCCCCTTCTTCACATGTATGTTACATGTACCCTGATTTCATGACTTTAATATTTTGCTTTTAATGATATGTAGGAAATCCAGGATGAGTCAGCTGTGTTATGGTTGGATGAAATTCAAGGTGGAATCTGGCAGTCCAACAAAGACACCCAAGAAGCACAGAAGTGTATGTATCACCTGTTTTATTTCTGTTTTGGTGGAGGCTGGGGTGACAAGGTGCTCCGTACAGCTTGACCAAGATAGGTATGGGGGAACAATTTGCCAGTAGATATAGTTAGGTGAAGCAGTATGTGAATTTAGACACTCTCTAAACTATTCTGGTAACAGTTCTTTCCCGAAATAGTTGCCTTAGGAATCTTTGCCATTAATGAGGCAGTAGAAAGTGGTGATGTTGGCAAAACACTGAGTGCCCTTCGCTCCCCTGATGTTGGCTTGTATGGAGTCATCCCTGAGTGTGGTGAAACTTACCACAGTGATCTTGCTGAAGCCAAGAAGAAAAAACTGGCAGTAGGTGAGTTCTGGGATAATACATATGTGCCCTGAAGCTAACCCTTGAGTATATGAGGGGACAGATGTAGAGGAAAGGGATAAGCTATAGGGAAAGACCTTTTAGCATAGATGTACAGTACTTAGGCTCATTTTAAAGGAGATAAAATCCCTATTTTTGAAAATATCCTTCCCCCCCCCCTTGTGGACAGCTGTGTTAATAAGGCCAATTTTCTGAGAATGTGGGAAAGATTAAAATATTTAACTGTTTATCTTTCACAGAGTAGCAGTAGCTCTGATTAAGCCTATAGGCAATTAAAAGTAGTTTGTCTGTAAAAAGAGGGAAAGAAATAAGATTTCTTACCCCATTTTATGGACTTTTAAAAATTAAAAAACTGGGCCGGGTGCGGTGGCACACGCCTGTAATCCCAGCACTTTGGGAGGCTGAGGCGGGCAGATCGCCTGAGGTCAGGAGTTCAAGACTAGCCTGGCCAACATGGTAAAACCCTGTCTCTACTAAAAATACAAAAATTAGCTGAGTGTGGTGGCGTGTGCCTGTAATCCCAGCTACCCGGGAGGCTGGGGCCGGAGAATCGCCTGAACCCGGGAGGCAGAGGCTGCCGTGAGCCAAGATCATGCCACTGCATTCCAGCCTGGGCAACAGAGCAAGACTCTGTCTGAAAAAAAAAATAATAATAATAAATTGAAAAACTGGAGAGGCTGAATGGTTGCACATTTTTTAAGACAGACAGGCCTTAAACTTTGGCTTTGGAGTGAACAAAGTTAATCATGGTTAATTCCATAATTGGACTTCATAGGTATTTTCTTCTTATAGACATAAATGAGCTAAATTAGTCATTACAAAGCCATAATTTAATGGGAGCTTAGCATGCCCCTTTACTCTCACAGATCCAAGGAGCAGCTTTTGGAGTGGTCTTCATTTAGACTGTGAGACTAACTAATAATCCTGCAGTTCTGGACGTACAGCTGGGGAGTGTGGCTCTGGATGTCTTCTATCTTTCCTTTATTTTCTGCCAGGAGATAATAACAGCAAGTGGGTGAAGCACTGGGTAAAAGGTGGATATTATTATTACCACAATCTGGAGACCCAGGAAGGAGGATGGGATGAACCTCCAAATTTTGTGCAAAATTCTATGCAGCTTTCTCGGGAGGAGATCCAGGTAGGTTACCTTTCTTCACGTAAGAAGAAGCTGAGAGAAAGTGTTTTCAAGCTATAATATTAATTAAGAGGAACAGGGCATGTGGTCAGAAGCCCTAGACTAAAATTGAGGTTATGTAATGAGCTGTTTTGCGGTAATTTTTTTGTAGTAGTTGGGGGAGTGACTGAGGCCTGAATTTGTAAAACATCTGAATTATAGAATTAAGTGATATAAACCATATGCTAAGAAAAGTTAGATGATCTATAAAAGAAAAATGAAAAGTTGCTAACTCCATTAAATGCAACTATTTTAATCTCTCCCAGTTTATATTTTCAGTCTCTCTTCTAACTGTTCCACAAATTATATTAGCTACAACCTGCACTTTCAAATAAAGTTAGCATTTTCATAGAGCTTTTAAAGTACTTTTTCATCTTCTGTGTCTTTGTGTCTTTGCTTATACTGTTCCATTCAACAGTTTTTGTTTGTTTGTTTGTTTGTTTTTTGTTTTTTTTTTGAAACAGAGTCTCACTGTGTCACCTAGGCTGGAGTGCAGTGGTGCATTCTCGGCTCACTGCAACCTCCACCTCCCTGGGTTCAAGCGATTCTTCTGCCTCAGCCTCCCGAATACCTGGGATTACAGGCATGCACCACACCTGGCTAATTTTGTAATTTTAGTAGAGACGAGGTTTTGCCCTGTTGGCCAGGCTGGTCTTGAACTCCTGGCCTCAAGTGGTCCACCCGCCTCAGCCTCCCAAAGTACTGGGATTACAGGCGTGAGCCAGCACACCCAGCCCATTCAACAGTTATTTGTTGAATACCTCAAATGTAGCAGGTACTCTTCTAAGGAATGGGGATATAGTCATGAACCAAACAAAGTCTCTGCTGTCATGAGATGTCTCTCCCCTGCCATCTATATCTGTCAAAATTCTTTCCTTCCCTTTGTACTGATTGTTGGTATCATAAAAGAAAAAAATTCAGGCTGGGCATGGTGGCTCACACCTGTAATCCCAGCACTTTGAGAGGCTAAGGCAAAAAGACTGCTTGAGCCCAGGAGTTCAAGACAAGCCTGGGCAACATGGTGAAACCTCATCTCTGCAAAAAATACAAAAATTAGCTGGGCATAGTGGTGTGTGTCTGTGATTCCAGCTACTTGGGAGGATGAGGCAGAAGGATCACTTGAGCCCGGGAGGTCAAGGCTGTAACGAGCCATGATCACAGCAGTGCACTCCAGCCTGGGCAACAGAGCAAGACCCTGTCTCAAAAAAAGGAATATTTAATTTAAAAATTCAGTCCTCCAAGCACACCCATCTCAAGTCACCTCCTCTATGAATCTTTTTAAAATTTCCTTTCCTTACCCCCTTCATCTTCCTTTGAAGCTCCCAAAGAACTTGGTATTCATTCAGAATTTAATGTACTTGGATTCGAATTTTAGTGACATTTGTGCTTGTCTATGCCCCCTAGTAGTTTTTAAGGTGAGCTGCTAAGTTTGCAGTACTTTCTCAAAGGGGAAGTTACATTGTCATTGATGGACTGTTGAGGACTTTTAAGTTTTAACTTGGTGCTGCACTCCTGTTACTTAAACCAGAGTTGTTTAATGAATGTTAAAGGGGAGGAATATATACTGGGGGAAGATGCTCAGTAAGCTCCTGTAGGTCGTTAGACATATTACTAACAGACATTCAGGATTCCTAGAGAAAAACGACAGTAAAAGATTTTCAAAAGGTCATTTACTTCCCTTTGGCAATATTTCCCAAATCGTGTGTGGAACAAGTCAAAAATACACCTGTGGAAAAACTGAAATAGTCCCTTTATTTAGGAGTTAACATCAGATGGGTGATTTCTACCTTGTGGTTAAAGTTCTCTTTATATGGTGGGTTACAGTCTCTTACCCTTCCAGTGTTTCATCTTCATTGCTAATGATTTCACAGGTGATGAAATTTAAATTCATTGAACTCTGTTCTGGGCATTGAGAAGACAGAAATATGTATCAGAGAGTCTCTACCTTCCATTGTTTCACAGTGTTGTGAAAACAGCAGACACAAAACCGAGTACTGTAATGTAAGGCAGAGAGAAGTGGTGCTCTAATCACAGCACAATAAGGGAAGTCTTAAGGGAATTTTTCATTTTGTCCTGGAGTAACATAGCGTAGATAATATTTTAGCAGCTGAGGAAAAAAAGAAAAGGCTGTTCTAGACAGAAAGGGAAAGTTAAGGATGAGCTTGCTGAAATTATAAAAAGGAAGTAGGAGAGAAAATAGAAAAGGAAAAAGCACAGAGTACTGAAAGGACATGGACCACTGAAGGAGAGGCGAATGGTGTATTACCTGGCACGTGGTAGGAGTGGCAGGACAAGAGGCCCAGGTTGAAGCTTGAGGGCCTAATGTGCTGTGCTAAGGAATTCAGGGTACAACTTCTAGCAGAGTGATTTTTAACTCTTGTTAGTTCAGGGACACCTTTGAGAATCTTATTAACCTCCACAGAAACACTCATGTTTGAATAGTGTTTTGCATATATGGACCTAAGAATTTAAACAGGGAAGGGATGCTACCTCATTTTCAGCATGTGACCTGACCTCTTACCTCTCCTGCCAACAATAGTGGCGATCACATATAGATCCTCCCACTCTACTCACCACTCTGTACTTTGAACTTACTTGGATTTTCACTGATTCCTTCTTCATTTTCTCTCTGGAGGAAACAGCTATCCTTTCTAAAGCTCATTATTGATCTTACTGCTTGATTTCATCCTCTCCCAGTTCCTTGCAGACCTTGTACTTTTTGTGCTCTTCCTCCAGTGCTTGTCAGGATTTAATGTCTGTCTGAATCACCTGGGATCTTGTTAAAATGAAGGCTCTGATTCTAGTGCGAGGTCTGAGAAAATCTGTTTCTGACAAGCTTTCAGGTGATGTTGATGCTGCTGGCCCAAGGACTGTATTTTAAGTAGCAGCCTACATACTTAAGCATCTTTATTTCCCACATCTTTGAAAAAATAATAATACAAAATTTTTTTAAAGCCCATGGAATTTCCCTGATCTGGCCTCACCTACATTCATACTCTTGCTAAGGGCCTTGAAAGTTAGTCTACTCGTCACTAATTCACTCTCTGTTACCATCCACTTCTTGGCTCACAGCAGTGTGGTTTCCTGTCCAGCTTTTACTTAGTAAAACTCTTATTTTAGAATTCATCAATAACCTTTTAATTGCCAAATTCAATTCTGAGCACTCATCATATTTGACTTGTCAAAAGTCTCTTCCTCAAACCCTCAATTCCTTTGGCTTCTGCCATCCAACTCTCTTCTAATTTTCCTGCTTCTAAATGTTCCTTCTTAATCTCTCTTGCTACCTTCCTTTCTCGACCTCTGCTTGAATTATACAAAGAGTCCATTGGCTGCCTTCTCCTACACATTCTTCCTGAGTGATCTCTTTCAAGCCTGTGGCTCTAGCCCTTACCCTTGTGCTTGTGACTCCTAAATCTGTACCTCCAGACGTTAGCCCTTTTCCCCACCACCAGGTTTTTGCCCTTCATTTTGCAGTCCAGAAGTCCAGCAGACACCTCAAACACAGTTTAACAGGAAAAAACCAGAGGCTGCAATAGTGTATAAGGTTGTATTTTTATCTCACATGAAATGATTCTGCAGTTCAGCAGTCCAGGGAAAATGTGGCTTCATGGTATCATCTGTCCCAGGATCCTTCATCTTTGTGCTCTGTCATTCTTAGCATGTGGCTTCCATTCTCAAGGTCACCTTGTCACCTATAATGACAGTTTGGAGCTTTGACCATCAAGTTAGCAGTCCAAGCAGGAAGTAGGAAGAAGGGGAAGGAGAGCAAAAAAGGTGTACTGTCAGCTGTCTGTTTCTCTCAAGGAGCTTTCTCAAAGGTCTTGCCATACTACTACTGCTCACAGCGCATGACCTCGCTCTACCTCATGAAGTCTTTTTTTTTTTTTTGAAGCGGAGTTTCGCTCTTGTTGCCCAGGCTGGAATGCAATGGCGCGATCTTGGCTCACCACAGCTTCCGCCTCCCAGGTTCAAGCGATTCTCCTGCCTCAGCCTCCCCAGTAGCTGGGATTACAGGCATGCGCCACCACACCTGGCTAATTTTTGTATTTTTAGTAGAGATGGGGTTTCTCCATGTTGGTCAGGCTGGTCTCGAACTCCTGACCTCAGGTGATCCACCCACCTCAGCCTCCCAAAGTGCTGGGATTACAGGCGTGAGCCACCACGCCTGGCCACTCGTGGAGTCTTTTAAGTGCATACAGTGTTGCCCAGAAAAAAAAAAAAATCGAGGCTCTGGTACCAAGGAGAAAGGAGAAGGTAGATGTGGATAAGTAACTAGATGTTCCTAACCATTCTTACTGCTGCTGCCCTTGTTCAAGCCCAGGCCATCTGTCACTTGGATCACAATAGCAGCATTGTAATTCACCCACTTGGTTGAAGTCTCTTCTCACTCTAATCTGTCAGCTGCTTTCCTAACAGTATTGTTTTTCTAAAAATAATCTCCACCCTGGGCAATATAATGAGGACTCACCTCTACAAAAAATATTTTTTAAAAAATTAAAATTAGCCAGGTATGGTGGTACACTTGTAGCCCCAGCTACTCAGGAGGTGAGGTGGGAGGATTGCTTGAGCCCAGGAGTTTGAGGCTGCAGCGAGCTGAGATTGTACCACTGCACTCCAGCCTGGATGACAGAATGAAACCTTGTCTCTAAAGTAAATAATAAACATCTGATTGTTTTATTCCTTTGCTTGACAAAATTTCCTGGCTGTCCAGTATCTTTAGTAACAGTCCAAACCCTCTAGGCTACTTTTCAAGACCATTTGCAATCTGCCTGGAGAAGCAATTTTCAGTCCTCACCTCTGGTCTCTCCCCCTGAGATGTCCTGCATTGTGACATTCTAGGGGTCCCTCGGTACGTGGCACACAGCCCTGTTGGGTACCTGTCACTCTGTTCTTGTCTACAGTGACCCCAGATCAGCCAGCACAGTGCCCAGCCTAGTCAGTGTTGGATAGGTAGATAAGTGAGATGACATATGAAGTAAAAGAAGATCAAGTTTTTGTTTATGAAGTGTTTTCTAGGTGGGAGGACGTGTGTGAGAACAACCTAGTCCTAAAAAACAGACCTGAGGGCTTTATTCCTGTTATGTAGCTAATGATCTAGTATAGACTTAGGAAGCAGGAGGTGTTAGCTTGTGTGCTGTGGATGATACTTCGTGAAAACCTGCATCCATTCTTGCCTGTGAATGTCTTTGAATGTGACCACTGCTTTTTCAGAGTTCTATCTCTGGGGTGACTGCCGCATATAACCGAGAACAGCTGTGGCTGGCCAATGAAGGCCTGATCACCAGGCTGCAGGCTCGCTGCCGTGGATACTTAGTTCGACAGGAATTCCGATCCAGGATGAATTTCCTGAAGAAACAAATCCCTGCCATCACCTGCATTCAGGTATTTCAGAACCTATCACACAGACAGCAAGCGGGCATCTAGAGCAGGGGTAATAAACGGTCAGCTGTCACCATTGACTGTCTGAGTGTGTTTTTTGAGTGCTGGACTCTTAGTCTTCTCTTTCCTTTGACAGGTACCTCCTCTTTACTACCATTTAACTGTAGTGTGCCTACAGGTGTTTAATGCTGGCACAGTGGCAGTTCTTGGGTACCTCTTCCTCTCTTCTTCTAAGACTGTACCTTTCTGTAAGATTTGAACCTTGAGGGAAACAACTGTGGTCTGGCTTCAATGATAAGGTAGCACAATGTCCTGGAAAGAATTCTGAGTTAGGAATGATGGCTGCACTACTGCCAGACAGTGGTGAATCTCCAAGTCTTTGTCCCCATCTGTAAAAGGGGAATGCCCCATTGTATCTTATCTTCCTCACCTGGTTTGTTGTAAGAAGCCAGTAAATGAATCTGTATGGCTGCACTGTAAAAGGTGTGCAGGGCTGTGCTGACGTTGGGGAAGTAGAATGTAGCCATCGTGTTCTTCCAGTGGAGGGATGGCCCGTGCCCTTGTTCCCCTGTCACTGCTGGAAGTGGTCCTTCCTAAAACTTCATCATGAAATTGCACTTGGATCATGTATCAAGATGAAAGTTTTTTTTTAACTTCCATTGATGCTTGGGAAGTAATATGTCTTCTGTAACATTTGACTGTTTCAGTCACAGTGGAGAGGATACAAGCAGAAGAAGGCATATCAAGATCGGTTAGCTTACCTGCGCTCCCACAAAGATGAAGTTGTAAAGGTATGGTAGCCTGAACAGGGTTTCTCCATGAGGGGCACAGGTATAACACGTGTTGAGATGAAGGACTCTTCTAATTTCCAGGATCCCTTTTCCACAGATTCAGTCCCTGGCAAGGATGCACCAAGCTCGAAAGCGCTATCGAGATCGCCTGCAGTACTTCCGGGACCATGTAAGCACCCTTGGATCATACAGGCCATTAGGGGCAATTTTGCCATATTTTTGGTAGACAGATGAACAGAGAAATTTCTTCTTTTTTGTTCCTTAGATAAATGACATTATCAAAATCCAGGCTTTTATTCGGGCAAACAAAGCTCGGGATGACTACAAGACTCTCAGTGAGTAACTGGCTCCGCATGAAGAGTTGAGGCAGTGGCTGGGAGCCACCAAGTTCAGGGTATTCTCCACAGACCTCTTTTGTTATCCTGAAGGCAAGGCTTGGGGGAGAGGGTGTGACCTGTGACATAAGCCCCTTTGCTAACATGTGGCTAGGTGTCTTGTTGGCTTGTTGCATTAACCTTTATCATAACATAGCAATAGCCTGACACAGAAGACTGCACCTGATAGTTGTCTTAGCACATCTCAAAATTAAATGTTTATGAATAGACTACTTTTTCAAGACAATGCTATTTCCTGAGACGTAGTACTTTTTCTGCTAACTCCATTCTTTGATGCATACTTTCTGTCAGTCAATGCTGAGGATCCTCCTATGGTTGTGGTCCGAAAATTTGTCCACCTGCTGGACCAAAGTGACCAGGATTTTCAGGAGGAGCTTGACCTTATGAAGATGCGGGAAGAGGTTATCACCCTCATTCGTTCTAACCAGCAGCTGGAGAATGACCTCAATCTCATGGATATCAAAATTGGACTGCTAGTGAAAAATAAGATTACGTTGCAGGTATGGCCCAGTGCCAGCGGGGGCCTTGGAACGGTTCATCCTGCTTTGTAACCCCTGCATTCCCCTTTCTGACTGGTGGGGAGGGTGGAGGCTGACTTTCTCCTCAGCTACTGCCATAAGAGCTTTTTTTTTTTCTTTTGACTGAGTCTCACTCTGTTGCCCAGGTTGTAGTGCGATGTGATCTCAGCTCACTGCAACCTCTGCCTCCCAGGTTCAAGCAATTCTCCTCCCTCAACCTCCTAAGTATCTGGGATTACAGGCACGTGACACTATACCTGGCTAATGTTTTTTGATTTTTGGCTTTTTTTTTTTTTTTTTTTTTGCTGACGGAGTTTCCCTCTCGTCGCTCAGGCTGGAGTGCAGTGGCGTGATCTCGGCTCACTGCAACCTCTGCCTCGCAGGTTCAGCGATTCTCCTGCCTCAGCCTCCCAAGTAGCTGGGATTACAGGCGCATGCCACTACACCCTGGTAATTTTTGTATTTTTACTGGAGATGGCGTTTCGCCATGTTGACCAGGCTGGTCTTGAAGTCCTGACCTCGGGTGATCCACCCGCCTCAGCCTCCCAAAGTGCTGGGATTACAGGCGTGAGCCACGACACCCGGCTTTTTTGCATTTTTAGTAGAGACGGGGGTTTCACCATGTTGGCCAGGCTGGTCTGGAACTCCTGGCCTCAAGTGATTGATCCACTCACCTTGGCTTCCCAAAGTGCTGGGATTACAAACATGAGCCACCATGCCCGGCCATCATAAGCTTTTAAAAAAGTTATGTAAGACAGGTCAGGCATGATGGCTCACACCTATAATCCCAGCACTTTGGGAGGCCGAGAAGGGCGGATCACTTGAAGCCAGGAGTTTGAGACCAGCCAGGCCAACATGGTGAAACCCTGTCTCTACTAAAAATTAAAAAAAATTAGCTGGACATGGTAGTACATGCCTGTAATTTCAGCTACTCAGGAGGCTGAGGTGGAAGAATCGCTTGAACCTGGGAGGCAGAGGTTGCAGTGAGCCAAGATTGCATGACTGCACTCCGGACTGGGTGACAGAGTGAAACTCTATCTCCAAAAAAAAAAAAAAAAAAAAAATTATTTAAGACATAAAACAACTTAATTGACAAAATTTTGATAGAGAAAAGAAGATAAATGTCTTCCCCTAATTTCACCTACCCCAGTCATTTTGTATCTTACATTCTTACTTCATATTAAAGGATAAGACTCTTTCCCTATGATAAGTAGTCATAATTTTTTTTTAATTTTATTTTTTGAAACAGAGTTTCCCTCTGTACCCCAGGCTGGAGTGCAGTGGCATGATCATGACTCACTGCAACCTCGACCTCCTAGGCTCAAGTGATTCTCCCACTTCAGCCTCTCAAGTAGCTAGGACGACAGGTGCATGCCACCACGTCTGGCAAATTATATTTTTATAAGAGATAGGGTATCTTTGTATTGCCCAGGCTGGTCTCAAAACTCCTGGGCTCAGGTGATCCTCCTGCCTCAGCCTCCCAAAGTGCTGGGATTACAGGTGTGAGCCGCTGCACCCAGCCATAAATATTATTTTTAACAGTAGCATATTAGATTTTTAGAAGATATACTATGATTTACCTCTTTTTCCCCTAGTATTTGACATTTAGGTTGTTTTCCAAGCGTTTATTATAAATAACATTGCAATTAATGTTTCAATATATATGTAGCTTTTATTGTATTTAAGACTTATTTTTATAATAGACTGCTGGAAGTTGGTTTGCCAATTCAGTGGACATTCTTATGGCTCAGATTCTTTGTTGGAACATAGGAATGGATTTGACTGGTGTACTGAAAACAGGATAAAGTGTAGTGGTTTTTAAATATTCAGTGGGAATCTGCCAGTGCAGTACACCTTCATGTGAGTTTGCACATGCTGCAAAACCTTTCCTCAATGCCCAGAGGTTCATCTTTGAAAGCTTTCTGATCTATTTATTGGTTTTTGTTTATAGGATGTGGTTTCCCACAGTAAAAAACTTACCAAAAAAAATAAGGAACAGTTGTCTGATATGATGATGATAAATAAACAGAAGGGAGGTCTCAAGGCTTTGAGCAAGGAGAAGAGAGAGAAGTTGGAAGCTTACCAGCACCTGTTTTATTTATTGCAAGTAAGTGGCTCCTGGAATCAGTGTTATAAAAATTTAGTGAATTTATTTTTCCACAAGAAAGCCTTACCATCGATCTCTCTGGAAGTATTTTTGACTTCCACTGAGGGGTGAGTGAGGGGCACTGTAACATGTTAATTTATTAATCTTTTTTCTCATATGTATTGTAGTCCTTCAATTTTAAATAATTGAATATATCTTGCCAGCCTTTATATTACCTACAAATGACTTATCCCTTGGTTTTATTTCAGACCAATCCCACCTATCTGGCCAAGCTCATTTTTCAGATGCCCCAGAACAAGTCCACCAAGTTCATGGACTCTGTAATCTTCACACTCTACAACTACGCGTCCAACCAGCGAGAGGAGTACCTGCTCCTGCGGCTCTTTAAGACAGCACTCCAAGAGGAAATCAAGTATGAACAGATTTCCTCAGGGCACAGGCCCCTTCCCACTATCAGAGGGGCTCCCAGTTTGAGATTCATGCCTTCCTGATCTTTTCTTGATCTCAATTAATTTATGAAAAATACTTACTCTAAAGAAGCATCTAATTTTTAAATAACTGATATAAAATCTTGCTGCTTCTAGGGAAGGGATAAATTAACTTTAGGAACATTCTGTATTAAGGTATAATTTCAAAAAGTAATCTGAACAGAAAGAATTCACATTTTTATCTAGTAGCGGACCCAATCATGACCACGATTGAGCGTGCAGCTGCAGGAACATTCTGTGAGTGCTGGGGAATGTTTCGAGAGAAACTGTTTCAGGGAGATAGGATCTTTAAGCAGGAAGGATCTTTTAAGTTGATGGGTTTTGTGACAAGTTTAAATTTTTATCTGATGTTTTATAGGTCGAAGGTAGATCAGATTCAAGAGATTGTGACAGGAAATCCTACGGTTATTAAAATGGTTGTAAGTTTCAACCGTGGTGCCCGTGGCCAGAATGCCCTGAGACAGATCTTGGCCCCAGTCGTGAAGGAAATTATGGATGACAAATCTCTCAACATCAAAACTGACCCTGTGGATATTTACAAATCTTGGGTTAATCAGATGGAGTCTCAGACAGGAGAGGCAAGGTATGTTAACCATAATGACACTTTTCTTTCATGTTGTTATAGTCTTTCCCTCTTTTTTCCCCTCTCTTTATTTATAAACTAATATTAGTTCAAATAGTTTTTCTTTTCTTTTCTTTTTTTAGACAGAGTTTCACTCTTGTCGTCCAGGCTGGAGTACAGTGGCATAATCTCAGCTCACTGCAGCCTCCACCTCCCAGGTCTAAGCAATTCTCATGCCCCAGCCTCCCGAGTAGCTGGGATTACAGTTGCACGCTACCACACCTGTCTGATTTTTGTATTTTTAGTAAGACTGGGTTTCACCATGTTGGCCAGACTGGTCTCGAACTCCTGACCTCAGGCAATCCATCTGCCTCGGCCTCCCAAAGTGCTGTGATTACAGCTGTGAGCCACCACACCCAGCCTCAAATAGTTTTTCTTTAGAAAACTGTGCTTTCTAAGTTGTTGACCTAGTAATAAATTCACTTATTTAGCAAATATTTATTGAGTATTAACTATGTGCCAGGCATTGTGTTAGAGATGTGTACAGTAATGCAATAATGAGTGAAACAGACATGCTTCCTGCCCTCTCTTCATAGTTCATTGGGTGGAAGAGACACCAACCAGGTACATAAAAATAAAAGCATAATTAAACATTGAAGAAAGTTTTATGAAGTTTTATGTACGGTTCTTTAATGGAGACTTTATAAGAGGGAGCTAACATAAGGTGGTTAGGGAAAGCCTATCCCGGAAGATAAAATTTCATTTAGCTGAGGCCCTAAAGCTAAGATGAACCCAGCCTTACTAAGAGCTAGGTGCAGAGTGTTTATGTCTGAACACTCTAAGCTGGAGGGTGTAGGACTTAAATGGACCCTGGCATAACTAGGGATACAGTTGAATGAGAAGGTTCATATAGATTGGGTGAGATCACTGTGTTTCATTAAAGGAAAAAGAAAACGGTGTGGAGTGAGCTTCCCTGAAATATCGTGAGTTGGGCTAATTAAATTAACGTATTACAGGAGATAGCTGAGCTAGGGCCATAGCGTAACCACCAACATTCATTTATCTAAAGCAAAAGTGTGCCAATCAAATATTGGTAATGCTGGGAAAAGGGAGTTCAGAATGCCAAAACGTTTCTGGTTTTATTTGTCTTGGGTGAGGACCCAGAGGGGTGGGAGATGGAGGTGTGAGCAGCATGGTCTGTTGTGGTTTTTTCTTGTTGTGGAGTAGAGTTAGATCATGCATGAAGCTCTCTGGGCATAGGTGGAGTAGCAGCTGTCCACACCATTGCTATTCAAAGTGTGGTTTGCACACCAGTAATGGAAAATCATCTGTGCACACTGTTTAGTTTAACTGATACTTTTTTTTTCATAGCAAGATTTTCTTAATGAAGGAAGTAATGTATTGATTTACATTCTGACTCATTGTCTTTATCTTGTCTTTGATCAGTTTGTAGACTGGCACTGGTCCACACTTTGAATAACACTATTCTTCATTCTACTTTCCATGTACCCGGATGCCAGGCAAACAGGGAGTTTTACGCTGGGTGGAGAACGGAACATTCTGCTGACTCCTTGAAAGGGCTTATCTCACCAGCCATGGTAGCTCACGACTGTAATCCCAGCTCTTTGGGAGGCTGAGGTGGGAGGATTGCTTGAGCTCAGGAGTTTGAGACCAGCCTGGGTAACATAGGGATACCTTGTCCCTACTTAAAAAAAAAAAAAAAAAAAATTAGCTGGGTGTGGTTGTGCACACCTGTAGTTCCAGCTATTCCAGAGGCTGAGGCAGGAGGATAGGTTGAGCATGGGAGGTTGAGGCTGCAGTGTGCCTTGATGGCGCCACTGCACTCCATCCTGGTTGACAAAAAAAGAAAGAAGGGGCGTTTCCTTATTAGGAATCATTTGGCATCTGATTGGTTCTCAGTACCATGTAGGTCTGTTATCAGGACTCAGATCATTGCAAAAGTCTTTTTAATTTTTTTGCCTGCATACCTGAGGCCCACATCCAGGAATGTGGTCAGCCAAGTGCAATACTTGTCTGGGAAGTTTTGCCTGCAACCCAGGGCATTCCTTGCCGATAGCCCCATGTACACTGGCTCCGGGCTTCTCAGTTATTTCCTCTGATGGTCCATGAGTCAGTCATTTTCAGATCCAAAGCCCGCTGGACATTTCAGGATTGGTTTTCTTGTGGGTACCTATAAGAAACTGGTGTCTTATTTTGCCTTTCATAAAATGGAAATTGAGCCAGGCATGGTGGCATGCACCAGTAGTCCCAGTTGCTCAGGAGGCCAAGACAGGAAGATCGCTTGAGCCCAGGAGTTTGAGCACTGCCTGGGCAATGTAGACCCCATATCTTAAAAAAAAAAAAAAAAAAAAAGGAAATTGATTTGAACTCTTTTTAAGATACCAGTGACTGTGAGGGATGGTGGTGTGGTGGGGATCTGTCCTGCAGGTAAGCATCACAGGTCCCTTAGCTTTCTTCTTTTACTTCAGCCACCATACACGTAGCAAACTGGAATCTTGTCACCTCTTGGGAATGTTCTTTCCTAAAATCTCAAAGTTAATGTTCTGTTCTATCACCAACGTTTTTTAGCATATTGATTCCCTTGCTGGTTACTACTTTTAAAACTCATATAAATAATAAAATATACAATATTCTTTATTGTTAAGTTCCATGTATTTATTTATTTCTCATAGAATGTTTCTGTTGATTTTTGCAGAATTTTTGTGTTCATAGTCTACCAATTTTAATTTAGCCATGCTATGACAAATGAAGAGGGGTATCCCTATCTACTTGTATTTTTCTTTTTGTTGTTGTGGTTGAGACAGAGTCTCGTTCTGTTGGTCAGGCTGGAGTGCAATGGTGTAATCTCAGCTCACTGCAACCTCTGCCTCCCTGGTTCAAGCGATTCTGCTGCCTCAGCCTCCCGAATAGCTGGGATTACAGGCATGCGCCACACGCCTGGCTAATTTTTGTATTTATAGTAAAGATGGGGTTTCTCCATGTTGGCCAGGCTGGTCTCAAACTCCTGACCTCAGGTGATCCACCCGCCTCGGCCTCCCAAAGTGCTAGGATGACAGGCGTGAGCCACCACACCCGGCCTCTACTTGTATTTTCTAAGGCTGCCATAACAAATCACCTCAAATTGGGTGGCTTAAAACAACCGAAAGTCATGGTCTCACAATTGTGGAGGCCAGAAATTTGAAACCATTATCATGAAGTCGAGGTGCTGGAAGAGCCACGCTCCCTGCAGAGGCTCTAGTGGAAACTCTGTTTCTTGACTCTTAGAGCTTGTGGTGACTGTTGACATCCCTCAACTTGTGGCTGTGTGGTTCCAGCCTCTGCCTTTGTGGTCACATTGCCTTCTCTTCCCCTTCTGTGTGTACCAAAGCTCTCTCTGCCTCTTTTTTTTTTTTTTTTTTTTTTTTTTAAGACAAGGTCTTGCTCAAGCAGTCCTCCCACCTCAGCCTTCCTAGTAGCTGGGAATGCTAGCATGTGCTGCTGTGCCTGGCATAGCACTCCTATCCTTGAAGACCTCCTTCTGGTTTCTAACAAAGTCCAGATTTGTCAGTATCATATACGGGGTCTGTCATGGCCTGCTCCCTGTCTGCTTTTCCACTGTCATTTCTCCTGTCTCCCCTTCCTTCCTAGAAGACTCTTCCTCTCCTTTTTTCCTGAGTTCAAGCATCCCTTCGTTTTGGAAGCTTTCCTTGCTTTTTCCATTCTGAGTTGAAGCCCTTTCCCTATGGTCCTGTGGCACTTTTGGTGAACTGATTTACAGCACAATAGGTTTATAATCATCTGTTTGTGTGTCGCTCCCACCAGACTGTAAAAGACTGAAGAGAAGGTGTCATGTCTTGTATAACTTTTATTCCCAAGTGCCTGTTATTGTGCCTGGCACACAATTCAGGCACCTGATTCACAGTTAAAAACCTGCGTTCAGATTCTAGACTTATCACTTACCAGCCCCGTGAGGATGAGCTTAAGCTATCTAATATTTCTGGGTCTTATAGTTTATGAAAGATAAGACACTTGCTTCAGGCTGTTCCTGGCTGTTAGTCTAACATAGTTGGGTATAATTTCTGTCTTCCCAGCAAACTGCCCTATGATGTGACCCCTGAGCAGGCGCTAGCTCATGAAGAAGTGAAGACACGGCTAGACAGCTCCATCAGGAACATGCGGGCTGTGACAGACAAGTTTCTCTCAGCCATTGTCAGCTCTGTGGACAAAATCCCGTGAGTGCCATCAGTTGTCATGACCCCCAGTAGAACCCAGCACTAAGTGCCTTTCTGCTCCTTGGCCCTTCTCACTAAGTTTTGTCCATCCCGCAGTTATGGGATGCGCTTCATTGCCAAAGTGCTGAAGGACTCGTTGCATGAGAAGTTCCCTGATGCTGGTGAGGATGAGCTGCTGAAGGTAAGAATCTCATAGCCGGCAGACTCCTGCCCTTTGAGGACAAAGCAATAAAACCAGGGCTGACCATAGATCATTACTAACTGCCTAAGTGTAGGTTCTGGCAGTAGCTTACCATTGATTGTGAGCTTTTGAAAGCAATTGTAATTGGTAAATGGTACCTCTCTTAGGATGAAACACTTCCTATAGTTTGGCACACAAACATCAAACAAGTAGAAAGATGGATTTTTCCTGTTTTCAGATGAGTTTCTTTGAGTCCTATCTTTTCGCTGTAGTATTGTTCCCTCTGCTGGTGACCTGGCGAATAGTAGCAGGCACAGTTGTTTCTGCTAAGGCTGTTGCTGATAACTCTTTCTTACTCAGCTATGCTCTTCTCTTTTCTTTTTTTTTTTAATCTGAATGCTTTTTTCTTCTCTCTCCTAGTTCTGTGCTTTCCTACAGTGAGGCCTCGATTCTAGACTTTCTGTTCAGGTGAATTAATTTTATTTCTTCTGAATGAAACTCTAGGGGAAATGCTGTGACTGCCCCTGAATTCTTCTGTGGAAGAGATGTGTGTTAAGTGAATTTAATTTCAGAGGCATGAACTTGGCCTTTGAAGTCTGCAGCATGAGAATGTTGGGAGGTGGGGTTACTCTATGCTGATTGGGTCATGTTAAGGAATTTAGCTATGTTTGTTAGCTTTTTATAAGGAAAGCCCATCTACATGAAAGTACAAAGTGCATGTGGGTGACAGCAGCCTTATTTGCTACCATGATATGTGAACAAAAGATGCCCTGAAATACTTAATAACAGACTTTAAGTGTGTCATTTTTACCTTCTGAATCTGCTCTTTCATTAACTACTGGCAGTAGTTTTCAGTTCTGTTCTCATTGTTTTCCTGTATTGAACAAAGGGATATTTCATTTAGTTCCAGGCCATGAGAGAGAGTGTGTATATGTGCATGCATGCGTGTGTATATGTATTTTTTATTTATTTTTTCCTCATAGGACTGCATTTTCTGCTTTTCTTTGCTAGCAAAGTCATTTATAGCTTCCTTGGTGGTATGTCTTTTAATACCCATCTTTCTGTTTCGTCTGTTCCAGATTATTGGTAACTTGCTTTATTATCGATACATGAATCCAGCCATTGTTGCTCCTGATGCCTTTGACATCATTGACCTGTCAGCAGGAGGCCAGCTTACCACAGACCAACGCCGAAATCTGGGCTCCATTGCAAAAATGCTTCAGCATGCTGCTTCCAATAAGATGTTTCTGGGAGATAATGCCCACTTAAGCATCATTAATGAATATCTTTCCCAGTCCTACCAGAAATTCAGGTAAGGGGAAAGGCACAAGTGCTTAAGAGAGTCTGTGGATGTATTTTTATTGTTGAGGGGAAAAATAAGATTAAAAACCACCTCTCACTTTCCCCGGACTGCCATATGTAGAAGACGTGTTTGATGTGCCCAGGATTCCAGAAGATGATCCATTTACTTTGAAGAGAATTTTCATATGAAATAGATAGTAGTTAACACTTATGAAATAGATAGTAGTTAACATAAAAATAATGATGATTATGCATTTAGTACATGTTACCTTGTAATCAGAGAAGAATTGGAGAATGCTTTTAATTTTTGTAAATTAACATCTAGTTTTGAATTCAGTGCTTCAGAGCACTGTCTTAGAGATAGAATTGGTTCTCCTAATGGTGTCTGGAAACTTTTAAGTCATGGTGCAATGGTTCTTATGGGTAAAACTAAAACTACAAACTAGGTGGAGAAAGAAGTTATTCGAACCACTATCCCAAGGTTGTCAAGCACAGCAAACACACAGCACTTTCTCTTGAAGTAACTGTTGACTGGCTTCTGTTTGCACTCATTGTGTGAGAGGTTTGTGAAATGTCCTCTTGCCAACTTCATGTGTATGTCCCTTTTTGGGGGGCTGCCTCCTGTGCTTATTTCAGACGGTTTTTCCAAACTGCTTGTGATGTCCCAGAGCTTCAGGATAAATTTAATGTGGATGAGTACTCTGATTTAGTAACCCTCACCAAACCAGTAATCTACATTTCCATTGGTGAAATCATCAACACCCACACTGTAAGTATTTTTCTTTAATTACTTAATTTCATTGTCCTTAATTATTATCCCTGGCTGCTGCTTATCATCTCTGGTAGCCAGGTGTCTAACCTTCCTGTAATCTAACTGACAATGCATCTCCTTGATGTCTCTTTTTTTGCTTGTTATTCTTTTTTGTTTATTTATTTATTTTTTGAGACAGAGTCTCACTGTGTTGCCCAGGCTGGAGTGCAGTGGCGCGATCTCGGCTCACTGCAAGCTCCACCTCCTGGGTTCACACCATTCTCCTGCCTCAGCCTCCCGAGTAGCTGGGACTACAGGCACCCGCCACCGTGCCTGGCTAAATTTTTTGAATTTTTGGTAGAGACGGGGTTTCACTGTGTTAGCCAGCATGGTGTCGATATCCTGACCTCATGATCTGCCCACCTCGGCCCCCAAAAGTGCTGGGATTACAGGCGTGAGCCACCACGCCTGGCCTTTTGCTTGTTATTCTTAACAGTATCTACTGCTAAGTTTCTAAAAGGTCTTCCCAGGCCACCTGCATCAGAATCCTATGGGCTGATAGTTAAAAATGAAGTTTCCTGGACACCGCCCCAGGCCTACTGAATCAAAATCCCACTAAATTTATCTATTGCCTTAATAAAATAGTGCTTTTACTCTTCTTTCTTTTTACCCTAGCTCTCTGCGTTATTTTTCTAACATGATCTAGAATACTAGCTTTCTCTGTGTAGCCTTGGAGTGGATTTTTCCCTTGGAAGCTGGAGCTCCATGTTTCTTCAGATTTTTCAAATCATTTTTTCCCCTCTGGGGACATGGACATGTAAAACAGGAACAAGGGCATATGTTAAAATGTAAATGAAATTTCAGGTTACTGTCATTTCTGAGGGCATCACTGGGGATAATGGCACCTTGAAGACTTTGTTGAGTGCCCCTACAATAATTATAACATTGATTTGGTATACTTTTCTCTGAATTAAATCATGTCATACACTGGAAACATTAAGTAAAAGCGTGCACGTGACTTATTTGAACTGGCAGTAGGGTACATTGATGACTTTGGGTATTGAACTTTGAGTTTCAGTGTTTTGTGGGTTTTTTGTGTTTGTTTGTTTTGTTTTGTTTTTTTGAGATGGAGTCTTGCTCTGTCACTCAGGCTGGAGTGCAATGGCGCAATCTTGGCTCACTGCAACCTCCACCTACTGGGTTCAAGCAATTCTTCTGCATCAGCCTCCCTAGTAGCTGGGATTACAGGCACACACCAGCACGCCCAGCTAATTTTTGTATTTTTAGTAGAGACAGGGTTTCATCATGTTGTCCAGGCTGGTCTTGAACGCCTGACCTCAGGTGATCCACCCGCCTTGGCTTCCCAAAATGCTAGAATTACAGACGTGAGCCACTGCACCCAGCCAGTGTTCTTTCTCAAACAGGGCACATTTGAATCCTTTATGGCCATGAGGTTAAGAGAATACCAGTATTTCCTCTTCTTATATCATAACATAAGTCATTCAACAGAGCCTGGTGTGGTGCCTTATATATCATATTGTTTATTTGGGTTAGTTTGCTGAGGATTTGCTTGTTGTTTCTTTGAATATAGGAACTTTGTTGGAACCTCTTTGTGCAGATCATTGTTAGACATTCTAGGGAGGGACGGGCTGAAGAGTTGAATGTATAAATGGAGTTGATCATTGGTGTTTGCAGCTCCTGTTGGATCACCAGGATGCCATTGCTCCGGAGCACAATGATCCAATCCACGAACTGCTGGACGACCTCGGCGAGGTGCCCACCATCGAGTCCCTGATAGGTAGAGTTCTAACTTTTGCCTGGAAGATCAAAAGGGAATGTGACAGAAAAGTGTTGTAATTGTCACCTCCTCTATTTTTTGCACTATACCAAACTCTGGATATACATTGAGAAATAAAATAGATGTGATCCTGATAGTTTCATAAGAGAGAAAACAACAACAACAACAAAAGCCCAGATGTGATCAATATCTATAAGGAACTGGAGTCAGAGGAAAAGATCATTTTAAACGCAGATACATACTGCCAGCTTGTGTTTTTTTAAAAAAATTGCAGATACATAAATTAAAAGTCCTCTAAAGGAAAGAATTTTTTTGTTTGTTTGTTATGAGACAGGGTCTCCCTCTGTTGCCCAGGCTGAAGTACAGTGGTGCAGTCATAGCTCACTGCAGCCTCAAATTCCTAGGCTCAAGTGATCCTCCTGAGTTGTTTTTTTTTTTTTTAATAGAGATGGAGTCTCACTATGTTGCCCAGGCTGGTCTCGAACTCCTGGCCTCAAGCCATCCTCCTCCTTTAGCCTTCCAAAGTGCTGGGATTGCAGGACTGAGCCACTGCACCCAGCCAGAAAGAATGTTTTCAGAGAGAATTGTGATATTGTAGTGTTGAAATGATTTCTCAAACATTTATGGAGTTATTATGGATCCCTTGCCTTTATCATTTGGCATAACATTTTATTTCTCAGTAAAAGTTGTTCTCGTCACACTGTATGTGTTAGGTGATTCAAGTATTATCTTAGACTTGCATCATCTTATATTTGTATTATTTCCCCCCAATATCTCCTCTCTTTATTACGCTGACTCTTTCCACCCTCCCAAAACTTCAGGGGAAAGCTCTGGCAATTTAAATGACCCAAATAAGGAGGCACTGGCTAAGACGGAAGTGTCTCTCACCCTGACCAACAAGTTCGACGTGCCTGGAGATGAGAATGCAGAAATGGATGCTCGAACCATCTTACTGAAGTGAGTATCAAAAGAAGGAAGAATGAAATGAATGTAATCTGAAGGTTTCTTGGCCTTTGGAGAGGAACCTGCTGGGTCCTACCTGAAATGACCATCCTGACCTCTCGTACTTGTCATAATCCCAGTCACCAATCACCTCGCATATTGTACTTGGTACAGGACTTATCTGCCTTATTTTGCTAATATGCTACAGTGAAATGTAAATCTTGGAAATCCTAACCCTCGTACCTACTTATGGAATGGCTGGGTAAATAAGCCTTGTGCCTTGAGTACTGTGTACTGGCAGCTGCCGCTTGGGACTTCTGTGAGGTACTGTTTGTGCTGCTGCTGCTGCTGCTGCTTCGGTCCACTTGAGAGGAACTAGAACACTGGTAATATTTAAATGCCTCCCCCATCTCGTTTCAGTACAAAACGTTTAATTGTGGATGTCATCCGGTTCCAGCCAGGAGAGACCTTGACTGAAATCCTAGAAACACCAGCCACCAGTGAACAGGTAAAATTTAGGGTCTAACATACTCCTTTGTTTGGTAGATAAGCTCTCCCGATAGGCGCATGTCAGAGAAAGGAGGGGAGACACAAATAACAGTTGGTAGCCTAGGGGTGAGCATGAATGTAACTGGGGGACAGTGGTAGTTATGGCTCGTCTGAGAAAGTTTTTGCTTCCTGAGTCCAGGTGATGTCCTTTGGACAGGAAGCTCACTGGCACTTGCATGCAGAATCATTGTGCCCATCCCGTATATCCATCCCTTGGTATCCACAGGCGATTCTTTCCAGCACCCATTCTCCCCACCCCCGGCCAATACCAAAATCCATAGATGTTGAAGTCCCTTATATAAAATGGTGTAGTATTTGGCCGGGCATGGTGGCTCATGCCTGTAATCCCAGCACTTTGGGAGGCTGAGGTGGGTAGTTCACGAGGTCAGGAGATTGTGACCATCCTGGCTAACACGTGAAACCCCGTCTCTACTAAAAATACAAAAAATTAGCCAGGCTAGGTGGTAGATGCCTGTAGTCCCAGCTACTTGGGAGGCTGAGGCAGGAGAATGGCATGTACCCAGGAGGCGGAGCCTGCATTGAGCCAAGATCGCACCACTGCACTCCAGCCTGGGCGACAGAGCGAGACTCCGTCTCAAAAAATAATAATAAATAAATAAATAAATAAATAAATAAATAAAATGTTGTAGTATTTGCATATACTTACGTTCTCCCATATACTTTAAATCATCTCTAGACTACTTATAATACCTACTACAATATAAATGCTGTGTAAATAGTTGTTACTGTATTTTTAAAATTTGTATTATTTTGTATTGTTGTATTTTTTTTTCAAACAGTTTCAGGGTTGGTTGAAACCATGAATGTGTAGGGTTCACTGCAATTTATTGAATATTATATATTTTGAATTCTGTTACATGCCTTGGTAGATAGAAGAAAAGTACAGAATGTGGCTCCTAAACTCAGTGAACCCATGGTCTTGTTGGGGAAATGTGACATATATACCTGAAACAGTGATGAACTGTTTCAAAATTAACTATGTTACTGACTGAAAAATAAGAGAAGTTTCAGGAAAGAGGCCAGTGAAGCAGTGCATTAGGAAGCTTCCTAAAAGAAGTGGAACCGGAGCCAGATGTATAAAGGTGGAAAGGATTTGGGTGTGCATGTAAGACAAGAGAGGGCATTCGAGGCAGGAGAGCGATGTGAACAAAGGTACAAAGGAGGGAAGAGCATGATGCGACTAGACTACATGTCTAGAATGGAGCTGTGGGTGGAGGTGAGTAGTGAGAAATAAAACATGAGACCAAATTATTTAGAACTCACAAACTAGATGGGAATTTGTCACTGCAGAGATAAGGAATAAAGAGCCTCTGTAAGGTTGAAGACCATTTAATAAAAGTTAATTAATTCAGCAGTGCTATTAGAGCAGATGTAGTTGAGTCATATAGGTGTGTGATAAGGTCCAGTGGGGTGGGCAGATGGTTGGGTCCTGGCATTTTGTAGGGTTGGATGAGTCATGTCATATCTAAGACCCTTGTTTCTTTTTTTTTTTTTTTTTTAATTTGAGACAGAGTCTCACTCTCACTCAGGCTGGACTGCAGTGGCGTGATCTTGGCTCACTGCAACCTCCGCCTCCTGGGTTCAAGCGATTCTCCTGCCTCAGCCTCCCGAGTAGCTGGACTACAGGTGTGAACCACCACACCTGGCTAATTTTTGTATTTTTAGTAGAGACAGGATTTCACGATGTTGGCCAGGCTGGTCTCAAACTCTTGACCTCAAATGACCCACCCACTGTGGCCTCTCAAAGTGCTGGGATTACAGGTGTGAGCCACTGCACCCGGCCATAGACCTCTGTTCTCATTTGTCAAGTAAGGAAAGTAGGTCAAGTCATTCATTCTCAAATTTTAAGCATGGTAATCTGTTTCATTAAATGACAACTTAGCTAAAAGCCCAGTATATAGAGCAGGTACTCTGCTACTCTGGAGCTACTCTGATAGCCAGCAATAGGGCATCTGAAATCCAGCCCTATAGGACTCTGTGATGCCTCTGGCAAACTCTTGAGGCTGCACAGAGAACTATTTGGAAACCATTGTTTTCAATGAAGTCTCAGCTGTCAGTTGCTATGACTGATTACTGATTAGATATGTGTGAAAGGCAAGTAAGGACATGTAAACCAATACTTGAAACATGTTGAACCTAGAAAGAAATTTGAAATAAGGAAGGAGGAGCCAGTCTTTATTGAGAACCTAGTATGTGTTTGGTGCTCTCACCTCTGTTCTTTAATTTAATCCTTACAATATTCCCATGAGTCGAGTCTTTTCATCCTTATTTTGCAGATGAGGAAACCAAGACCCTTACAGGTTAACTGGCTAAGATCATCAGCTTGCAGTGACAGAACCGGAGGTGGATCCAGTTCTGTCTGCCTCCAAAGCTTATGCTGTTTACATTATGTGATGCAGAGTAGTCTTGACATTAGAAAAAAGGGGACTATTGGGAAAGGGAATTGCTCCAGTTAGGGGGAATTACAAGTTTGAACTATGAGCCATCCCGAATGTAAACATCCCAGTACAAACAGCTCAGAATATGGCACCAGAGCCATGGTCACAAAGATTTAGGATCTGTCAACACAGAGGCAGTCAATGAAGTATTGAGAGTAAACAGAGAGAAATGGTCACAGATCACATAGAAGTACCAAACCATGCATAGAGCAAGAAGACAGTGCAGAGAAGATGAGCAAGGTGACAGAAAAGGCTTTGGATTTTGGACAGGGGAATGGTAATTGGTGATAAGAGCAGTAAAGAAGAAAGTGCTGAAAGAACGAAACAGTGAGTGTAGATCATATGTTGGACAGGGACAGACAATGGACGGTGACTATGAAGGATGGCGACTATGAAGGATGGCAGTATCAAGGGAAGGTGTTTCCCTGTTAGATTGTGGTGTCTGCAGAATGTTTGAAAGCAGAGGCAAGGCTCGAGCATGATTCCACCTTGTGACAAAGTGACACAAAGAATTAGCAAGGATTTACTAAGCACTGGTCTTGTTGTATTAGTATAGTTATAACATTTATACAGCTATGTTTTTAATAAAATTAAATGGCTTCCATGTCTCAAAATGTGGTAGAGAAAAATGACTTTGTAGCCAGTAGAGTCCAGTCTCGGTGATTGTACCTGGAGTCCAGGAAAGAAGCCCTAAGCACCTAAGCAGTTGTGTGATTTGTTTGTTTGCTTGTTTTTTGTTTTTTTGAGACGGAGTCTCGCTCTGTCGCCCAGACTGGAGTGCAGTGGCGCGATCTTGGCTCACTGCAAGCTCCACCTCCTGGGTTCACGCCATTCTCCTGCCTCAGCCTCCTGAGTAGCTGGGACTACAGGCACTCGCCCCATGCTCGGCTAATTTTGTTTTTGTACTTTTAGTAGAGACGGTTTCACCGTGTTAGTCAGGATGGTCTTGAACTCCTGACCTCATGATCCGCCTACCTTGGCCTCCCAAAGTGCTGGGATTACAGGCATGAGCCACCGCGCCTAGCCCAGTTGTGTGATTTTGTAGATATCATCTCTTCTAGGTGGAAAGAGATGTGCCTCTGCTTCATGCAATTTTTCATCTATCATTTGGCAGGGGGCAGAATTTGTTTCCTTCTGTTTCAAGGTTGGAGTTTAAGAACTGTATAAGTTCAGGTGCAAATGTGCTATATAAATTCAAGTTTAGGATTAGTGTGGTAAACTTGCTAAGAACTTCTTTTTCCCATCCGTAGGAAGCAGAACATCAGAGAGCCATGCAGAGACGTGCTATCCGTGATGCCAAAACACCTGACAAGATGAAAAAGTCAAAATCTGTAAAGGAAGACAGCAACCTCACTCTTCAAGAGAAGAAAGAGAAGATCCAGACAGGTTTAAAGAAGCTAACAGAGCTTGGAACCGTGGACCCAAAGAACAAATACCAGGAACTGATCAACGACATTGCCAGGGTACTGCATTCGGGGGACAGAGGGGACCCGGCCTTGTTCAAAGCTGAGAGGCTCGAGAGACAGTAGCTGTTCACATAACAGCATAGCTTCAGTTCATGGGCAAATTAGTGCCCTCCTCTATGAGAAACCATATCTGACTCTCCAGCATGAGGGCCTTGCCCGACCTGAGGTGGCTTATTCCATGGCCTAAATTACTAGGGAGAGGACCTTAACTGGAGCCTCCTATGACCTTAAAGAATTTGTCTTCAGCCTTAAAGAATTCTTCCAGATCTTTTTCATGATTACTGTGAAATATAAATTCACATCAAGCTGATTAAATCGTTGATTTGTATGAATCATCTCAAGCGAGGGGCTTTGGTGAGGACTAAGAGTTTAGGTGTTCTGTGCTGTTGCACTAAGATAATATTATGCACACCTGAGAACTGGTAGTTGATGTATTATAGTTCTCTTTTTCTCCCTTTCCCAACAAAATATTTAAGAGGTCCAAACCAGCTTTGCAAGTAAATTCTAAAAATGTGTAAGTCTAAATGTAACACATTTCCCTGCTAGAAGATACAAATGGGGGAAGAAAATTTGAGATCTGAATTTCTCTGTTAATTTGTGAAAACAAATTACTGCCTGTTGAATGTATGGTTAGGTCAGGCACCGTGGCTCACATCTGGAATCTCAGCACTTTCTGAGACCAAGGCAGGAGGATCGCTTGAGACCCCATCTCTACAAAAAAAAGTTTTTTAATTAGCCAGATGTGGTGGCATGTGCCTGTAAGTCCTGGCTACTCTGGAGGCTGAGGTGGGAGGATCATTTTAGCCTGGGAGGCTGAGGCTACAGGAAGCCGTCAACCACTGCACACTCGAGCCTGGGCAACAGAGTGTCTAAAAAAAAAAAAAAAAAAAAAAGTAGGTAGTCATATTTAAGGCAGAGTTAAGCATTGCTGGGTTGTAGTGTGAAATGATAATGATAACTGTCGTTATTTTTCTAACTTTAATAATTATGTCTCAGGATATTCGGAATCAGCGGAGGTACCGACAGAGGAGAAAGGCCGAACTAGTGAAACTGCAACAGACATACGCTGCTCTGAACTCTAAGGCCACCTTTTATGGGGAGCAGGTGGATTACTATAAAAGCTATATCAAAACCTGCTTGGATAACTTAGCCAGCAAGGGCAAGTGAGTATTTTTTCTTTTTAAAGAATCAATGTCAGAATTAGAGTGAGGAAAAAGCAGAGGCAACTGAAATGACACTGGAAATTTTTACTTAAAATACACTGGATCTATTTATTGCATTAGTCTTTTATTTTACCTCTAATCATTTGTGTAATTGCCTAATTCCATTTGTAAGTGTATGATGTGAATAGTGGGTGGGGGATTTCATGGATGCTTATCGCTAAGTATTCCTTTTGCAAAATATCTTCTTGGGGCCTGTCAAGGTGGCTCACACCTATCATCCCAGCACTTTGGGAGGCCGAGGCGGGTGTGTCACTTGATGTCAGGAGTTCAAGACCAGCCTGGTCAACATGGTGATACCCCATCTCTACTAAAAATATACAAATTAGCTGGGTGTGGTGGCACGCACCTATAGTCCCAGCTACTTGGGAGGCTGAGGCAGGAGAATTACCTGAACCTGGGAGATGGAGGTTGCAGTGAGCCACGATTGCATCACTACACTCCAGCCTGGGCGACAGAACAAGACTCTGGAAAAAAAAAAAAATCTTCTTGGCCTTAGAAATTAAAATCATGAAAGGAGATCATCTGCTGGTCCCAGAATCACTTAAGGAATATTATACAAATTTGGGTCCCCTTGCTCCTCTCTATACTTCCTGGGGACAAGATCACAGGCTCTGATTTTTTTTCCTGGGTGCTGAGGAAAGTCTGATCCAGCCTTCTTGGCACTGGCCACAAACTATCAGCATGCCCATGTTACAGGGAGGGAATTGAAAACCCAGAGAGGTGGGTGATAAGAGCAGGTTTTACTTGCAGGGTAGTTTATTATTTATTCCTAACTTTTTATTTTAAGAGTTTTCAAATCTCAGATCGAATGAATAGAACAATAAGCACCCATGTGCCCTTCACCTAGATTCACCCATTTTTAATATTTTGCCATATCTGCTTCCCATTTCCCTGGCTCTTGCATGTCCTCTGTTTCTCTCTTTCCATGGAAGACTCTCTGGGGTCAGGCATGGGTGATGGAAGGGATGAAAAACAGGCCCACCTAACCCTGCTTGCAGATCTGACTCCTGTGAGCTTTTGATGTGTTTTCATTGTTCCTTGTGCACTTCCTGACTTTCTGACACAAGATGTTTCATGTTCAACCTGTAGTTTCCCCTCCCCAGGGCCAGAATGAACTGTTTCTCCAAGCATGCCTGGTTTCTTTGAATGAAGAATGGTATTTAGAAACCAAGATCTAGAACTAGGTGTGTTCACTGCCAGATTTGTCATGGCCTCCAGGCCTTCTAAGCAGACAGACCTAGATTCTCATTTTTTTTTAATGCTGCATATTATTCCATTATGCAGATAGATATAACAGTTGACTTCAGCAGTTCTCCATTGATGGACATTTAAGTTGTTTCCAGTTGTTTGTTATTATTTTTTAAATTCTGCAGCAAATAACCTCTTGTACATATGTCATTTTGCAAATGTGGGCATATTTCTGAAGTTAGCACTTCTTGCCTTGATTATCCTAATAGCCTCCTAACCTGTTTCTTTTTCCTTATTTTCATTCATCTGTAATTGCTGTGCTGGCTTAAACGCTTTTAAAAAGTATTTGATGACATTTTAATTTTTTCCCTACACAGCTGAGGGGCGTAGAGTAACTCCTTCACTCCTGGGATTCAGTACCATTCCCTCAGCTGGCATACGAAGCTCTCCTAGTTACTTGTTAGGTACTTAAGTTCCCAGAAGGACATGGGAGGATTAAGACACTGTTAAATTCATGGGAGTGTTCTCAAATATAATTTAAACTAAAAATAGAAGCAATTTAGTAATATTTCCCCTGTTTTGCAGAGATATTGCTTAGGCTAATTCTAACATTTGTTTGCCATTTTAGAGTTGGTATGTTACTTATGCTTATGTCTGGAAGTTTGGTTTCTGACATGTTTCCTTCAGTTACCAATGATGAAGATTCAGAGTAGATGGTTACTTATAGAAAGTGACATGATGTGATTTTTACAGAGTCTCCAAAAAGCCTAGGGAAATGAAAGGAAAGAAAAGCAAAAAGATTTCTCTGAAATATACAGCAGCAAGACTACATGAAAAAGGAGTTCTTCTGGAAATTGAGGACCTGCAAGTGAATCAGTGAGTCTTTGCTTTTTGTTTTATAAGTTGATTTTTATTTCTACATTTATCACATCTTTGCCTTTTTGTCTTCATTTCTCTTTTCTGGATGGTTACTTTTAGTATTTTTTATGTATTTATATATTTTTATGTGTAGAATTAGGCCTCATACTCAGAGTTAATTTGTCATAAAAGAGTTTTTCTTTTCCTTGTTTGTAGAACATTTGTCTCAGGTCATGTTCACTTATTTGGGTCTGATCTTAATTTTTCCTCATTAAAGCAGGAAGCCATTCCTTGGATTTCTTCTGTTTCTGAACCAAGAATAAATTAAGAGTAACAATAAGAGGAGTTTGCTTTATTCCACTTATAGCTAGGAACCAGGCACTTATCTTCATTTGCTTTTCTGGGAAGTATCAGCTTGCTTTGCACGTGGTTCATGGACCTGACATGTCATCCTCCCACAGGTCCTGGGCCCAGCGTCATTAGCAAGCATTTATTGAGCATCTGCTCAGTCAGCCCTGTGACCTCAGGCTACTGATCTTTCTCTTCTTTTGTCTGTTTAGGGGGGGAAAAAAAACAACTTTTAAAAAAAGAACCTTTTACATTTTTCTAATTCTAAAATAATATGTATTCGTTATTAAACTTTGAAAATACAGTAAAGCATAAAAAAGAAAACACCTGTAATTCCACAAGCCAGAGATAACCACTGAAATCGTTTTAATGTATTTTTTTCTATTCACATAAAGATTATACACGACTCACCCACTTATGTATTTAACTACTTTATATATAAATACATATATATATATTTTTTTCTTCTTCTTCTTTTTCTTCTTCTTTTTTTTTTTTCACGGAGTCTCTCTGTCACCCAAGAGTACAGTGGCGCGATCTCAGCTCACTGCAGCCTTGGCCTCCCAGGTTCAAGCAATTCTCCCACCTCAGCCTCCCAATTAGGTGGGACTACAGGCATGCACCACCACACCCAGCTAAGTTTTTGTATTTTTAGTAGAGATGGGGTTTCACCATGTTGGCCAGGCTAATCTCAAACTCCTGACCTCATGTGATTCACCCACCTCAGCCTCCTTTGGGATTACAGGCCTTTATTATTATGTTATTATTATTATTATTATTATTATTTATTATTATAGGTCATTATCTTCCACTACTGTTCAAGTGCCTACCTCTATTTGCCTTTCTGTCTTCTTTTTAATTTGCTCCTATGGGCTTAGAAACTAAATAGCCAACTAAATCTGGTAAAATTATTTATCACTTAAGATAAATATGTTTAAGGAATAACCCGTGAGGCGTTCCAGTTGAATAAGATGCATGTGTGTTTCAGTGCATGGGTTTTTGTGACTTCTTTAACTCTCAGTGACCTTTTTGCATCTTTCATGGTTCTCAGCCCTGTTCGTAATAGGTAAGGCAGCTCCATAGTTGAGTTCTGGAAATCTGGGGTGCTATACTTTGATCATCCAGAGAACAGCATAATCCCTTTTTTTTTTTTTTTTTTTTTTTTTTTTTGAGACGGAGTCTCGCCCTATCACCAGACTGGACTGCAGTGGTGATAGGGTATGGTACTCAGCTCACTACAACCTCTGCCTCCCGGGTTCAATCAATTCTCCTGCCTCAGCCTTCTGAGTAGCTGGGACTGCAGGTGCATGCCACTATGCCCAGCTAATTTTTGTATTTTTAATAGAGATAGGGTTTCACCATGTTGGCCAGGATGGCCTCGATCTGACCTCGTGATCCGCCCGCCTCGGTCTCCCAAAGTGCTGGGATTACAGATGTGAGCCACTGTGCCCGGCTGCATAATACCTTTTCCTTTTGGCCCCCCAAAATTTCCTGGCACGTAACATATTGTGAATGAGTGATAACTTAAATACGTTCAATAATAACAATTTATCTTTGGTAATACTGAGTGTGCTTATATACACAGCACCTACTCTTTCTAGAAAACCTCCTCCCTTGGTGCTTTTTATACGGACCCCCTTTTGTTTATTTACTTCTCCCAGTCCTCAAACATGCATGTATTCAAACACATACACCCTCTCCTTCCCCAGTGTCCTCCGTTTTCTCCTTTTATCATTAGGTTTCCTTTTTGGCCATGTGGAAGTGAAGAGAATTCCTATGATGTCATCCCTTCACACGCCACTTGTGGAACTCCTCAGTGGTTCCTCTTTGATAGGATGTAAGTGCTGCAGGCAGAGAGAGGTTGCCATTCCTCTCTCCAAGTCCCAGAGCAGATGGTACTTGGGCTTGGCAATCTGTGCTGCTTCAGCTGCAGAAGTACTTTTGACCTGTATTTTCTGCAGCCCTTTTCACTCTTGAAGACTTGGTTCATCTCCTTTCCCCATTTCACAGAATATTTTTATATGAGAATATAAAAACCATACCCTTACGATGTTATCTTTCAACAGGTTTAAAAATGTTATATTTGAAATCAGTCCAACAGAAGAAGTTGGAGACTTCGAAGTGAAAGCCAAATTCATGGGAGTTCAAATGGAGACTTTTATGTTACATTATCAGGTGGGTATGCACCAGCAGGAACCAAAAACTTTCTGGATGAGATTCTTGTCCAAGTAGGAGAAATAGATAAAGAGGAGACTCATCTGAGGAAAGCTGTCTACATTCAGCAGTGAGCTAGGCTCCACACTGCGGGGAAAGAAGCTGAGGGTTTCAGCATGTCTGGTTTGGTGTGTGCGCTCTGGAGAGCTTTTGCAGATGTCACTCTTCAGAAAACATTTAGCTGAAGCTTCCACTTAGTGCTGCCACTAAATCGAGCTGACACCTTGGACTTGAACAAAATGCAGAAGTACACATGCTGACACTGCAGAATTCTAAGCCCACTCAGTAGCTTGAAATCTTTTTGTCATTTTGATTTGATATAGGTACTTAAAAGTTAGATACATTCTGACAAGGTGTGTGTAAAGTTTATGTTTGTAAACTGAATTCTATCTTAAATCCAAAAAGAACTCGGGAGTAATTCATTTTTGTAGCATAAAGATCCCTAAGTTTTATTTTGAAATATCTGATTTTTACACGTTAAAAAATAACAGGGCATCGAGAGGATTCCTAGGTGACATCCAGACTCCTTTAGCTTTGTGTGTGTGGCACCGGTTAGTCTGCTTCTCTCTCCTTTCTTGCACTGCTTCACACAGCCATGCCCTGCCAGCCCGGGCAGGTGCCTTCCTGTCAATGTACATTTGGGCTTCTGCTCATGCTGCCCTCCCTCCCCTCCCCTGCCTCCCAACCCCGCCCCTTTTGTTCCTCCATGGAGTACTTCCATGGGTGTGCCTCCCCCAGCCAAGCCATAATAGGTGGTTTCCCCTTCGCTTCTGTAGCCCTTGCAGACATCCTCTGTTTACAGTAGGTGTTGACTTACTTCCCCTCTCCCCGCTAAAGCCATAAACTCCTTAAGGACAGGTAGCATTTCTTAGTCATCTTCGTTTCCTTCTCAATGACCAGTAGACCATTAAAACATGTTAGCTAAACAAATGTGAAATGATTTTGTGATGCACACAGCTAACTAAAGTACTTCCACCAAAAAAAAAAAAAGAATAGGAACCTCTTATTCCCTCAGTTTCACCAAATTATTTTTTTAATTTAAAATTTTTTATTTACGTGGAGTTATCAGAACATATTTTTATTTTTAAATTTTTTAACCAAATCATGTTAGGCCAACCAGTCTGCCTGTGGTAATTTATTAATTTATGTACAAATTCATTAAATGTGGGGTAACTGCCAGGTGTGGGGTATTCTGTTAGGCACAGGTCCCAGCAGCCCTCATGGAGCTGCTAGGATTTTTCCAACAGATAATTGAACTTGTGGGGTCCTTTCTTTTTTTGGAGGGGGGGGCAGAGTCTCGCCCTGTCTCCCAGACTGGAGTGTAGTGGCGTGTTCTCCATTCACTGCAACCTCCACCTCGTGGGTTCAAGTGATTCTCCTGCCTCAGCCTCCTGAGTGGCTGGGATTACAGGCGCACACCATCACGCCCGGCTAATTTTTTTTTTTTTTGAGACAGTTTCGCTCTTATTGCCCAAGCTGCAGTGCAATGGCACAATCTCGGCTCACTGCAACCTCCGCCTCCTGGGTTCAAGTGATTCTCCTGCCTCAGCCTCCTGAGTAGCTGAGAATATAGGCGTGCACCACCACGCCCCAACGCCCAGCTAATTTTTGTATTTTTAGTAGAAACAGGGTTTCGCCATGTTGGCCAGGCTGGTCTCTAACTCGTGACTTCGTGATCCGCCTGCCTCGGCCTCCCAAAGTGCTGGGATGACAGGCGTGAGCCACCACACCCGGCCTTGTGGGGTCCTTTCAAGACTTTTGACCCTTGCTTTCTCATCACCACTCTTATAAAGTTCAGAAGTGAGACCACTCAGATTTCTTAAACTTGTTCAGGACAATGGTGAAAGTAGCAGGAAAAGCGGGAGCATTGCAGTCAGATCTGGATTTATCGCCTCCATCTCTGTCCTGTTGTGCAAGTCATTTAACATCTCTGAGTCTCAGTAGCTCATCTTTAAAGTTAGAATAATCGCACCTCATAAAAATTTTTGTGAGGACTTTAAAAGATACTATGTAATGTGCTTACACAATGCCAAGCACATGGCAGACACCTAATAAAACATCAAGTTCTCTCTTTTCCCCTTGCCTTCGGGATAGAAAGTGTTCTCATATGGAATAGAAATTAAGAATCTATCAGATAGTATTAAGGTGACATTACTAGCCTTATCTCATTTCCCCGTGCTTAGTATATTTCATCATAGGTTTAAATGCTTCACCTTTTCCAGATTTATTAAAACTAGTGACCCATAACATGGATGAAATGGGAAAATGTCATTGTGACTTCTGAAATAAAAAGCTTAGATGTGTGTGGCAATTGAACATGTTTCTTTTTCTTTCCATGTATGATGAATTTTGATATGAACAACATGACTTCCTAACTCCAAATCAACCAGAAGCCTCCCTTGGCCAATGTGCCCTATTGCTCCAGCTCTCAGGCTGGTTGTGCAGTGGGTAGTTGCCTAGCGTGGAACTTTTCTTTCGCCCCAGTTCACATCTGGCACACAAGGCAGGCCTCAGTCCATCTGGATCCCTCCCTACATTGTGTCCTTTTTCCTTGTTCCACAGACTTGATTAACTGTCAAAATGTTTTGTTTTGTTTTGTTTTGTTTTGTTAATAGGACCTGCTGCAGCTACAGTATGAAGGAGTTGCAGTCATGAAATTATTTGATAGAGCTAAAGTAAATGTCAACCTCCTGATCTTCCTTCTCAACAAAAAGTTCTACGGGAAGTAATTGATCGTTTGCTGCCAGCCCAGAAGGATGAAGGAAAGAAGCACCTCACAGCTCCTTTCTAGGTCCTTCTTTCCTCATTGGAAGCAAAGACCTAGCCAACAACAGCACCTCAATCTGATACACTCCCGATGCCACATTTTTAACTCCTCTCGCTCTGATGGGACATTTGTTACCCTTTTTTCATAGTGAAATTGTGTTTCAGGCTTAGTCTGACCTTTCTGGTTTCTTCATTTTCTTCCATTACTTAGGAAAGAGTGGAAACTCCACTAAAATTTCTCTGTGTTGTTACAGTCTTAGAGGTTGCAGTACTATATTGTAAGCTTTGGTGTTTGTTTAATTAGCAATAGGGATGGTAGGATTCAAATGTGTGTCATTTAGAAGTGGAAGCTATTAGCACCAATGACATAAATACATACAAGACACACAACTAAAATGTCATGTTATTAACAGTTATTAGGTTGTCATTTAAAAATAAAGTTCCTTTATATTTCTGTCCCATCAGGAAAACTGAAGGATATGGGGAATCATTGGTTATCTTCCATTGTGTTTTTCTTTATGGACAGGAGCTAATGGAAGTGACAGTCATGTTCAAAGGAAGCATTTCTAGAAAAAAGGAGATAATGTTTTTAAATTTCATTATCAAACTTGGGCAATTCTGTTTGTGTAACTCCCCGACTAGTGGATGGGAGAGTCCCATTGCTAAAATTCAGCTACTCAGATAAATTCAGAATGGGTCAAGGCACCTGCCTGTTTTTGTTGGTGCACAGAGATTGACTTGATTCAGAGAGACAATTCACTCCATCCCTATGGCAGAGGAATGGGTTAGCCCTAATGTAGAATGTCATTGTTTTTAAAACTGTTTTATATCTTAAGAGTGCCTTATTAAAGTATAGATGTATGTCTTAAAATGTGGGTGATAGGAATTTTAAAGATTTATATAATGCATCAAAAGCCTTAGAATAAGAAAAGCTTTTTTTAAATTGCTTTATCTGTATATCTGAACTCTTGAAACTTATAGCTAAAACACTAGGATTTATCTGCAGTGTTCAGGGAGATAATTCTGCCTTTAATTGTCTAAAACAAAAACAAAACCAGCCAACCTATGTTACACGTGAGATTAAAACCAATTTTTTCCCCATTTTTTCTCCTTTTTTCTCTTGCTGCCCACATTGTGCCTTTATTTTATGAGCCCCAGTTTTCTGGGCTTAGTTTAAAAAAAAAATCAAGTCTAAACATTGCATTTAGAAAGCTTTTGTTCTTGGATAAAAAGTCATACACTTTAAAAAAAAAAAAAACTTTTTCCAGGAAAATATATTGAAATCATGCTGCTGAGCCTCTATTTTCTTTCTTTGATGTTTTGATTCAGTATTCTTTTATCATAAATTTTTAGCATTTAAAAATTCACTGATGTACATTAAGCCAATAAACTGCTTTAATGAATAACAAACTATGTAGTGTGTCCCTATTATAAATGCATTGGAGAAGTATTTTTATGAGACTCTTTACTCAGGTGCATGGTTACAGCCCACAGGGAGGCATGGAGTGCCATGGAAGGATTCGCCACTACCCAGACCTTGTTTTTTGTTGTATTTTGGAAGACAGGTTTTTTAAAGAAACATTTTCCTCAGATTAAAAGATGATGCTATTACAACTAGCATTGCCTCAAAAACTGGGACCAACCAAAGTGTGTCAACCCTGTTTCCTTAAAAGAGGCTATGAATCCCAAAGGCCACATCCAAGACAGGCAATAATGAGCAGAGTTTACAGCTCCTTTAATAAAATGTGTCAGTAATTTTAAGGTTTATAGTTCCCTCAACACAATTGCTAATGCAGAATAGTGTAAAATGCGCTTCAAGAATGTTGATGATGATGATATAGAATTGTGGCTTTAGTAGCACAGAGGATGCCCCAACAAACTCATGGCGTTGAAACCACACAGTTCTCATTACTGTTATTTATTAGCTGTAGCATTCTCTGTCTCCTCTCTCTCCTCCTTTGACCTTCTCCTCGACCAGCCATCATGACATTTACCATGAATTTACTTCCTCCCAAGAGTTTGGACTGCCCGTCAGATTGTTGCTGCACATAGTTGCCTTTGTATCTCTGTATGAAATAAAAGGTCATTTGTTCATGTTTGTGTTTTTCTCAGTTTCATTGTTAACAGTTCCTGCTAAACACCTTGACTAGAGTGAGATGTATCAGTTAAAATCACAACAGCAGACAACCCCTTCCTTTTAAAGGAGAAAACGTAAGTCCACCATCAGATCATTGAATGTCTCAAAGTGACTTTTAATGTGTGAACGTGTGACTTTAGCCTTTTTAATGAATATGCTTAAGTTATCTTCACCATAAAAAGAAGGGTGTTGCGGGAAGCAAACATTATATGTCACTTAATTCTGATTGACGAACGGTGGAAAGTTTAAAATTGCAACAGCATTTAACCTTTTTTGACCAGCATACTGTTGTTGAGCACATAGACTGTGCCCCTTAGGGGGTTCCTATGTCACTTGGAAGTCACCAGAAAAGACTAGGGGATGTTGAATGTGGAAAAAGTAAATCACAGCAGTAAAAAAAGAAGAAAAGGGGCTGGCGTAGTGGCTCACACCTGTAATCCCAACACTTTAGGAGGCCGAGGCGGGCCGGATCACCTGAGATCAGGAGTTTTAAGACCAGCCTGGCCAACATGACGAAACCCCTACTAAAAATACAAAAATTAGCTGGGTGTGGTGGCACACGCCTGTAATCCCAGCTACTCAGGAGGCTGAGGTAGGAGAATCACTTGAAGCTGGAGGCGGAGGTTGCAGTGAGCCAAGATCACACCACTGCTGTCCAGCCTGGGAGACAGAGCGAGACTCCATCTCAAAAAGAAAAGAAAAGGCTTCCTTGTCAGAGGGCAGCCTTACTTAAAAATACAAACATGTACATAAGCATCCTGTTGTGTTGGTAAACTGTGGCCAGACTATATTGGAAAATTAGTGACAGGTTGAAATAAGGGGGGAAACGGAATAATTCTAAAATAGGGAAAATGAAAAATTGGAGGTGATGGTTTGTACGAGTGGTTGGAGATGACCGCATGCTCCTCTGAGGAAGAGTGAGGGGAAGAGCATGGCTCTCCTGGTGGGACTCTGGAAGGTACCCTTCTGAGCCCCAGGTTTCTCGTTCTGAAATGGAAAGGATGCTGTCTGGTAGCTTTGTTATTGAAACCTGAAATATTTTAATAATATGCTCTATATTGTCCTGCAAAGAAATCAAGGGAGTTAGAAAAGTGCTTATCAGGACTGGGTGCAGTGGCTCATGCCTGTAATCCCAGCACTTTGGGAGGCCAAGGCGGGTGGATCACAAGGTCTGGAGATCGAGACCATCCTGGCCAAGATGGTGAAACCCTGTCTCTACTAAAAACTACAAAAAAAATTAGCTGGGCGTGGTGGCGCATGCCTGTAGTCCCAGCTACTCAGGAGAATGAGGCAGGAGAATCGCTTGAACCTGGGAGACAGAGGCTGCAGTGAGCCGAGATCATGCCACTGCACTCCAGCCTGGGGGACAGAGCGAGACTCTGTCTCAAAAAAAAAAAAAAAAAAGAAAAGTGCTTATCGGCCGGGCACGGTGGCTCACACCTGTAATCCCAGCACTTTGGGAGGCCGAGGCAGGGAGATCACGAGGTCAAGAGATCGAGACCATCCTGGGTAACACGGTGAAACCCCATCTCTACTAAAAATGCAAAAAATCAGCTGGGCTTGGTAATGGGTGCCTGTAGTCGCAGCTACTCAGGAGGCTGAGGCAGAAGAATGGCATGAACCCGGGAGGTGGAGCTTGCAGTAAGCTGAGATCGTGCCACTGCACTCCAACCTGGGCAACAGAGCGAGACTCCATCTCAAAAAAAAAAAGCTTATCAAGGTATAGCAACATTAAATAAGAAAAATAAGAGGGAAAATCAGAGTAGGGGCTGGACGTGGTGGCTCACACCTGTAATCCCAGCGCTTTGGGAAGCCAAGGCGGGTGGATCGCTTGAGATCAGAAGTTGGAGACAAGCCTGGCCAACATGTTGAAACCCTGTTTCTACCAAAGATACAAAAATTAGCCCGCGTGGTGGTGCGCACCTGTAGTCCCAACTACTTAAGAGGCTGAGGCGGAAGGATTGCTTGAGCCTAGGAGGTTGAGGCTTGTGGTAAGCCATGATTGCACCACTGCACTCCATCCTGAGTAACAGCAACACCCTGTCTCACAAAAAACAAAAAGAAAAAAAAGTAGGAAAGTAAGATGGAACCCAGAGCAATGGCAGAGTGAATGCCATGGAGTCCCAGCTGCTGCTGGTGGTGCCACTGCACCAACGGGGAGGGAGACGGGGTTGTCACAGCCCTGCTGCTCATTCTTTTGCCTGTGTATCCCTGAAAATAATTTGGGAAAACGTATACATCCCTTCACACATTTTAAGTTTGACAAATACATTTTTAATGTTTAAATCAAGAGTACCTGCTAGCATGTGAATTTTAATATAAAAATGACCATAAAAATATCGAATGGAACCCACCTTCATTCATTTTTAAAGGTACATGAACAAAGCTCTTAGTTGGAAATTTCTTTTTTATTTCTTTTTTATTTTATTTTATTTATTTTTGTTTGAGACAGAAGTCTTGCTCTGTCGCCCAGGCTGGAGTGCAGTGGCGTGTTCTCGGCTCACTGCAACCTCCACTTCCCAGGTTCAAGCGATTCTCCTGCCTCAGCCTCCTGAGTAGCTGGGACTACAGGCGGCTGCCACCACACCTGGCTAATTTTTTGTGTTTTTAGTAGAGACGGAATTTCACCATGTTAGGCAGGTCTCAAACTCCTGACCTCAAGTGATCCGCCCACCTCGGCCTCCCAAAGTGCTGGGATTACAGGTGTGAACCACTATGCCTGCCCCTGGAAATTTTAAATCTTTACAAATTTAACGTTTTTTTTCTCTACTCTGCTTCCTTCAGAATTTTACCCTAGTGAAATATTTTAAAGGACATCTTATTTTTGGTCATCTGTAACAAAAATAAAAATTTGTTTTCGTGACCATAAGCCTATTAACCCAATCTAGAAAAACATTTTGCATAGTTACAGTTATTAGTGCATATTTGATTGCAGTAATTTTTTTTTTTTTTTTTTTTTTGAGTTGGAGTCTTGCTCTGTCGCCCAGGCTGGAGTACAATCTTGGCTCACCACAACCTCCGCCTCCCAGGTTCAAGCAATTGTCCTGCCTCAGCCACCCGAGTAGCTGGGATTACAGGAGCCCTCCACCACGCCTGGCTAATTTTTGTATTTTTAGTAGAGATGAGGTTTCACCGTACTGGCCAGGCTGGTCTCTTGGCTAGGCTGGTCTCGAACTCCTGACCTCGTGATCCGCCCACCTCGGCCTCCCAAAGTGCTGTGATTACAGGTGTGAGCCACCGCACCCGGCCCAGTAATGTAATATTTTATCTTGACAATTCTAAAAGATATTTGAAATGCATTTTTTTATTTTGTCATTGGTATCTAATGAAATGCATTTATTGATGAGATAAATGAAAGTCTTTTAAAATGAAAGTTTAAAAACATGGTAGACAAATATTCTTGCTAGAATGAGATGGGGCTCATGACCAATTCTATTTCTATTTTTCATTTTTATAACTGTAAGCTCCGAGAAACATTGGGGTGTTTCATTACAGCAGTGTCACACATTTCTCAGGACTCCTTAGTAACTAATCCAAAAGACTCAATGATTTATAATAAGTTATAACATGAATAGGTTCTCCAACTTTGTTGAAAGCAAAAGTTAAAAAAAGATAATTACCTAATTTGGAGAATTTATTATGCATGCAAACATTATTCACTTTCTCAGGACTTGGGAAGTAGACAAGGGGATTTACCAAGACTTTTAAAGTAACCCAATTATAACTCTTTTTTTCTTTTTTTTTTTTTTGAGATGGAGTCTCGCTCTGTCGCCAGGCGGGAGTGCAGTGGCGTGATCTCGGCTCACTGCAATGTCTGCCTCCCGGGTTCAAGCCATTCTCCTGCCTCAGCCTCCAGAGTTGCTGGGATTACAGATGCCCGCCACCACGCCCAGCTAATTTTTGTATTTTTAGTAGAGATGGTGTTTCACCATGTTGGCCAGGATGGTCTCTATCTCCTGACCTCGTGATCTGCCCGCCTCGGCCTCCCAAAGTGCTGGGATTACAGGCATGAGCCGCGGCGCCAGCCTATACTCATAACTCTTTAACTTAAAGATAGCTTATTTAATCCAATATGTTAATACGCTTGGGAAAACAGAAATATTTTAATACTCCTTTGGTACTATAATTTTTTAACTTTTATTGCAGGGAACTTTCAACATATAAACGGGGAATAATGTAATGAGCACCCATGTGTCCATCATGCAGCCCAGCAATTATCAACACACAGTTAAGCTTATTTCACCTGTACCTCTGCCCAAACCCTCTTGGGTTACTTTGACAAAACCCAGGTATAGTATCATTTCAACCATAAATACTGCAGTACATGTCTCTAACACAGTTTTTTTTTTTTTTAATCACAGAAGATATTTGGCTGTTTGGAAATATTTTTAATTGGCCTGACGAAAGAGGTGCTACTGGCATCTAGTGGGTAGAGGTGAGGGATGCCACTTGACATCTTTCAGTGCAACAGGACAGCCCACTGCAACCAAGAATGATCCAGCCTCAAATATTAATAATGCCTGGGGTGAGACGCTGCTCTTACAGATAAGGACTTAAAAAAAATCCCCATCCCATCATCACACCTAACAAATTATTTTAAAATATCAAATTATTTTAAAATATCACACCGTTTAAATATCACCATTTACATTTTTAATTTAAATTTTTAAATTTTAAAATATCACCGTTTAAATTTCCCCATTCATCTTATCATTGTTCAGTTTGTATTTTTGAATCAGGTGCCAGACAAGATCCATGCATTACATTTAGTTGATAGGTCTCTTAAATATCTTTTCCTTTTCTTTTTTTTTTTGAGACAGAATCTCACTCTGTTGCCCAGGCTGGAGGGCAGTGGCTTGATCTCAGCTCACTGCAACCTCAGCCTCCCAGGTTCAAGTGATTCTCCTGCCTCAGCCTCCCGAGTACCTGGGATTACAGGTGACTGCCACCACACCCGGCTAATTTTTTATTATTTTTAGTACAGACGGGGTTTTGCCATATTGGCCAAGCTGGTCTCAAATTCCTGACCTCAAATGATCCGCCTGCCTCGGCCTCCCAAAGTGCTGGGATTTTACAGGTGTGAGCCACCACGCCCGGCCATATATAATTTTTTGAATGCTCAAATTGTCCCCTCTTTGACCAATAAATTTCCTTCACAGTGACTGTTGAGTACTTTTGACGTGACCCTAGTAATCTTTGATAGTTTCCTTGATTTCTAGCATAAGACGTTCCAGGCTCATCTTATTGCATTTCTCAGCCCCAGACCTGGAATCCACCATTTTTCTGTGGAGCCCTGGTTACTGTTAGCGGGTAATGGTATTTCAAGGATGCAGTCTGGGTGGGTGCTAGGGGTGTTCCTCACCGTTAGATTGGTCATTGTGTCCTTTTTTTTTTTTTTTTTTTCTAGAGACAGGGTATCGTTCTGTCACCCAGGCTGGAGTTCAGTGGCGTGATCTTGGCCCACTGCTACTTCCACCTCTTGGGTTCAAGCAGTTTCTCTGCCTCAGACTCCTCAGTAGCTGGGATACAGGCATGTGCCGCCATGTCCAGCTAATTTTTGTATTTTTTAGTAGATATGGGGTTTCACTAAGTTGTCCAGGCTGATCTCAAACTCCTGACCTCAAGTGATCTCCCTGCCTCAGCCTCCCAAAGTGTTGGGTTTATGGGAGTGAGCCACCGCACCCAGCCTTTTTTTTTTTTTTCCTTGCAATGTATTTGATGCTAATCCTGTAGAATCACATTCTGGGTTTCTCATGTCATCCTGTGGATCAGACTCAGTTTCAATCTTGTGGCAAGAATACTTTGGTTTTCCTATTACATCATGTCAGGGCTTATGTTTTTATGATGTAAAGGCTGATCTTTGGATTCAGATGTTGCCAGCTTGACCCATTCATTATAATTTCCCATCGGCTTTCACCACGTATCACATGGATTCAGCAGCCACTGGTAATGGCTGCCTACATTTATTTATTTATTTATTTTACTTTTTTTTTTTTTTTTTTTTTTTTGAGACAAAGTCTTGCTCTGTTGCCAGGCTGGAGTGCAGTGGCATGAGCTCAGCTAAGAGGCAGGTTCAAGTGATCCTCCTGCCTCAGCCTCCTGAGTAGCTGGAACTACAGGCACGTGCCACCATGCCCAGCTAATTTTTTGTATTTTTATTAGAAACAGGGTTTCACCACATTGGCCAGGATGGTTTCAATCTCTTGACCTCATGATCCGCCCGACTTAGCCTCCCAAAGTGCTGGGATTACAGGCATAAGCCACTGCACCTGGCCTATTTTTTTTAGTATTTTTTCACTTTTTTTAGAGACGAAGTCTCACTATGTTGCCCAGGCTAGTCTCAGACTCCTGTGCTCAAGTGGTCCTCCTGCCTTGGCCTCCCAAGGTCCTGGGATTACAGGCGTGAACCACCATGCCCAGCCTCTTATTTCATTGGGGGTTGCAAAATGGTGATATGCTATTAATATCATTCCTTCTTTATTTAACAGAATTCTCCTTAAAAAAAAAAAAACTTCCTCTCTTCAACTATTTTGTTGCCTTGTAGAACATTCATTCAGGAACAGATGATGAGTGCTTGATTCTCTCCCTTTGTTTACTAGTTTTCAGAATAAGCTGCTTCCCTAGTGGGCTCTAAATGACCAGGGAGCCTTTGTTTTTCAAAAATCATAATGAACCCCTGGCTTTTTAATATATTCCATGTCTTTCAATCCACTGTATGTATATCGATATACATATTCATAAAAATTCTTTTTTTTCTTGAGATGGAGTCTCACTCTGTCTTCCAGGCTGGAGTACAATGGCACGATCTCAGCTCACTGCAACCTCTGCCTCCCAAGTTCAGGTGATTTCTCCTGCCTCAGCCACCCGAGTAACTGGGATACAGGCATGTGCCACCAAGCCCAGCTAATTTTGTATTTTTAGTAGAGATGGGGTTTCACCATGTTGGCCAGGCTGGTCTCAAACTCCTGACCTCAGATGATCTTGGGATTGCTGGGATTATAGCCGTGAGCCACTGCACCTGGCCTCTAGCTTTTTCTTCTTTTTTTAAATTTTTATTTATTTATTTATTTATTTATTTATTTATTTTTGAGACAGAGTTTCACTCTTGTTGCCCACAGCTGGAGTGCAATGGCACGATCTCGACTCACAGCAACCTCCACCTCCCGGGTTCAAGCAATCCCGAGTAGCTGGGATTACAGACATGCGCCATCACGGCCGGCTAATTTTTTTTTTTTTTTTTAGTAGAGATGGGGGTTTCTCCATGTTGGTCAGGCTGGTCTCGAACTCCCCACCTCAGGTGATCCGCCCTCCTCGGCCTCCTAAAGTTCTGGGATTACAGGCATGAGCCACCACATCCAGCCTAAGCTTTTTCAATGGAAAATTTTTAAAAGAGAAAAACACTTCGTGAGTTTATGACAAAACAATTTTTTAATATAAAATACTTTTACCTAATGTATGTGAGCTCAGTGAAAGGAAAAAGTGCCTTGAGTAGTAGCATTTGCCAATTCTGTGGTATGAATACTTCCCCAAAGCTGATTTCAAGCTACCAACTTGATGTTGTTGGTCACAGAAAGTAGAGCTGAGAAGAGACGCTTGCAATCAGCTCCCATGAGCTAGTATCAATTTTTTTTTTTTTTTTTTTTGAGATGGAGTTTTGCTGTTGTCACCCAGGCTGGAGTGCAGTGGCGCAATCTTGGCTCACTGCAACCTCCGCCTCCCAGGTTCAACAGATTCTCCTGCCTCAGCCTCCTGAGTAGCTGGAATTACAGGTGACTGCCACCACACCAAGCTAATTATTGTATTTCTAGTAGAGACTGGGTTTCACCATGTTGGCCAGGCTGGTCTCGAACTCCTGAACTCAGGTGATCCACCAGCCTTGGCCTTTCAAAGTGCTGAGATTACAGGCATGAGCCACCGCGCCTGGCCGAGTACCAAATTTTATTCCAAGGACGTGGGGCAGGGGGGCAATTGATGGATTTGAAGAAGAGCAAGAAGAGGTCAGAGATGTGCAGGATGGATGAGGGCGGGGAGGCTAGGTGCGAGGTTGTGCTGGATATCTCCTTTTTGTTCGTTGAGATCCATTCTCCACCCCTCACCCTCCCCTGTGCCCTGGGAAGCTGGCCACATGGACGGCATCGCTGTCTCTCTCCAGCTTCTGCGTGGGTTTGGCCAACAGGAAGCACTACCAGGAGACCGGAGGTCTGGAAGAAAGCAATTCTGCCAGGTCACTAGGAATCAGCTGCCTCTCTCTACCAAAGACCAGAGCTCCTGTCAGGCAGCTCCCTTCAGACAACCACCTCTCCCCACTGCAGTAAGCAATCCCACACCCAATTCCCTTCAGGCCTAGAAAGCTAATGATTCCTGCTGTAACTAGCCTCAGGGGGTCCTGCCATATCGCTAAACCCCGCCCTGTCTCTTTATTAACTTCTCTTCAAATTACTCAATTGGATTATGCCACCTGTATTCTGCTGGGTCCCTGACTGATACACAAGAGTGAGAGGTGACAGCGTGCTGGCAGTCCTCACAGCCCTTGCTCGCTCTCGGCGCCTCCTCTGCCTGGGCTCCCACTTTGGCGGCACTTGAGGAGCCCTTCAGCCTGCCGCTGCACTGTGGGAGCCCCTTTCTGGGCTGGCCAAGGCCGGAGCCGGCTCCCTCAGCTTGTGGCGAGGTGTGGAGGTAGAGGCGCTGGCGGGAACCGGGACTGCGCGCGGTGCTTGCCGGCCAGCGTGAGTTCCGGGTGGGCGTGGGCTCCGCGGACCCTGCGCTTGGAGCGGCCGGCTGGCCCCACCGCCCCGGGCAGTGAGGGGCTTAGAACCTGGGCCAGCAGCTTTGTGAATACACCAATCGACACTCTGTTTCTAGCTACTCTGGTGGGGACGTGGAGAACCTTCGTGTAGACACTCTGTATCTAGCTAATCTAGTGGGGACGTGGAGAACCTTTGTGTCTAGCTCAGGGATTGTAAACTCACCAATCAGCGCCCTGGCAAAACAGACCACTGGGCTCTACCAATCAACAGGATGTGGGTGGGGCCAGATAAGAGAATAAAAGCAGGCTGCCGGAGCCAGCAGTGGCAACCCTCTCGGGTCTCCTTCCGCACTGTGGAAGCTTTGTTCTTTTGCTGTTTGGGTCCCCACTGCTTTTATGAGCTGTAACACTCACCGCGAAGGTCTGCAGCTTCACTCCTGAAGACAGCGAGACCACGAGCCCACCAGGAGGAACGAACAACTCCAGATGCGCCACCTTAAGAGCTGTAACACTCACCGTGAAGGTCTGCAGCTTCACTCCTAAGCCAGCGAGACCACGAACCCACCAGAAGGAAGAAACTCCAAACACATCCGAACATCAGAAAGAACAAACTCCAGACGCGCCACTTTAAGAGCTGTAACACTCACCGCAAGGGTCTGCGGCTTCATTCTTGAAGTTAGTGAGACCAAGAACCTACCAATTCCTGACACAAGAGGACCAATTAAGGCCTCAATTAGTGAGGGATTTGGTGGCCTGAATTAGACAGTGGTTGTTAGGATGGAAGAGGTGGTGGGAGAATTCTAGAGGTATTTAGGAAGTAGAATGGATTCACTGAACATTAGGGGAAGGAATAGTGGGGCATAGGGCTGGCAAGTACTCCTGAAGAAGTATTCTGTGATCAAGGAAGTTTGGGAAATGTTGTATTCTGTCATATTTGGAAGTCACAACACATATGTAAAAGCCCTTAGGGCTGGGTATGGTGGCTCACGCCTGTAATTCCAACACTTTGGGAGGCTGAGGCAAGTGGATCACCTGAGGTCAAGAGTTTGAGAACAGCTTGGCCAACATGGTGAGACCTTGGCTCTACTAAAAATACAAAAAATTAGCTGGGCATGGTAGCACGTGCCTGTAGTCTAAGCTACTCAGGAGGCTGAGGTAGGAGAATCTCTTGAACTCAGGAGGCAGATGTTGCAGTGAGCCAAGATCGTGCCATTGCACTCCAGCCTGGGCGACAGAGTGAGACTCTGTCCAAAAAAAAAAAAAAAAAAAAGCTCTGAGAAGTTCTACAGTCAAGAAACTTGCTTAGCTTTGTGTAGCATAGCTTTCCCCAAATGTATCTGACCACACAATCCCCTCCCTCTTACCCTTTAGAAAGCTCCTATTAGCCATCAGTGAAACTCATGTTCCATGGAACACATTCTTCGAAATCCTGGAGAAAAGAGGAAGCTAGAACAGAACCCGACTTTAAGCTTTCAACAAATGGTAAATATTACCTAGGAAACAGAAAAGCAAAAATGTGCATTTGTATGCCACATTTGTCAAAGAATTTTGGACTCCATTCTACATTTCTATTTTGGTAAGTTTGTTTAAAACTTTTGTTCTTAAATTGCAGATACTTGTTCTGTGTAAATTTTGTCCCCACTTGTCTAGAAAATAATTTTGATGTGATGTATAAGAATGTGCACTTGATAAACTTATGATAGTTGCTCATAGCCACTGGCTTTTGTTTCTGGAGAAAAATATTCCCAATGCCTATGGGGACGGAGGTACAGAGACCTTTATGGTGGGAGCTGAAAAGGCACATGACAGAAAAAATGATGTGATGAGAATTAAAGTCAAACTCCTCCTGTTTAATGCTAACTCAGAGGCCAGGCACGGTGGCTCACACCTGTAATCCCAGCACTTTGGGACGTCAAGGCAGGTGGATCACCTGAGGTCAGGGGTTTGAGACCAGCCTGGCCAACATAATGAAACCCTGTCTGTACTAAAAATACAAAAACTTAGCTTGGTGTGGCAGTGCATGCCTGTAGTTCTAGCTACTCCGTAGGCTGAGGCAGGAGAATCACTTGAACCTGGGAGGGAGAGATTGCAGTGAGCCGAGACCAAGCCACTGCACTCCAGCCTGGGTGACAGTGAGACTCCGCCTCAGAAAAAAAAAAAAGCAAAGCAAAAAAAAAAAGCTAACTCAGAACTAGCTCCCAGAAAAAAAGGAGAACCAGTGTCCAAACACCCTTCTCCACTAAAAGGAACCAGGGCTCCATGGAGAAATGGCTGATTCTGGGGCCAAGCAGACAAAGTACAACATGAGCCTAAAATATTGGGTGCCTAGACAGGAAGAAATACTAAAAAAAATGGAAACATGGTAAAAGGATGCAGACAGTAAATCTGGGATAATTTTAAGTACTAAAATAATAACAGTAGTTGCAGGGGTCTGTCCCGCAGACCCAACAACAGATGAATAAAGTACACTGACACAGATATTCTGCTTTGCCAGTCCAGCTGAGCATCTGGGCCACTTACAGACTCCAAGAAGAGTGCTATAAAGAGTAGCAGCCGTGGCCTCCACCATCCAGGGAGACTCACATTTGTTCAGTAAAGATTAATTGACAAAGGCTTGAGTCAACACAGCTAGAGGGTAATTGACATTGCCAACCTCCTGAGTAGAAAGCAATTAAGCACCCACAGTAGATCAAAGGTTAGTCTTAGGACCACATGAGTAAACAAGCTAGTTTAGATAAACTCCCCCACATTTCTTTGTATCTACTTTAATCTATTTAAAGGTAAAGGGACTAGGCTGCCTTCAGCCAGATCTATTACCACAATTATGCAAACTCTCAGGCCTTCCAAGAGGGTTTGTGGCTATTATAACTAAAATTTTTCCCACCAGCCTGACTGAACCCCAACCAGTAATGAATTATAACCCATTAAAATTAGAATTCATGAGTCCATTCTGATATAAACAAATAAATGGGAAAGGGGCAATAATTATCAATGCATACTAAAACTAGTGGGTACAAGCTTGTGGAATAACAGGATTTTTAAATTTTATTTATTTATTTATTTATTTATTTATTTATTTATTTATTTTTGAGACAGGATCTAGCTCTGTCACCCAGGCTGGAGTGCAGTGGTGTGATCTCACCTCACTATAACCTCCACCTCCCAGGCTCAAGCAATCCTCCCACCTCAGCCTCTTCAGTAGCTGGGACCACAGGCACACGCCACCGTGCCTGGCTAATTTTTGTATTTTTTGTAGAGATGGGGTTTTGCCATCTTGCCCAGCCTGGTCTTGAACTGCTGAGCTCAAACAATCCTCCTGCCTCAGCCCGAATAACAGGATGTTTATATCATCTCAGATTATCCCCCTTCGAGATACTTACTGATTACAAAAAGAAATAATAGAAATTTTATAGTGGGCCGGGTGTGGGGGCTCACACCTCTAATCCTAGCACTTTGAGAGGCCGAGGTAGGTGGGTCACGAGGTCAGGAGTTCAAGACCAGCCTGGCCAAGACGGTGAAACCCTGTCTCTACTAAAAATACAAAAAAATTGGCCAGGCGTGATGACACGCACCTATATTCCCAGCTACTCAAGAGGCTGAGGCAGGAGAATTGCTTGAACCCGGAAGGTGGAGGTTGCAGTGAGCCAAGATCATGCCACTGTGCTCCAGCCTGGGCAACAGACAGACCAAGACTCTGTCTCAAAAAAAAAAAAAAAAAAAGAAAGAAATTCTATATTGGAGAAACCTGGCAGACATCACCTTAACCAAATGATCCAAGTTTAATATCAGTAATGGGACACCTTGACATCGTGTCCCTCCTGATATGGCTAAAGTGAGAACACAGCGTTGCTCCTGTGTGATTCCTGCCAAAAGTGCATAATCTGAAAAGAATCATGAACAAACATAAGACAAACCCTAATTAAGGAATATTCTACAAAATAACTGACCTGTCACTTCAGAAATTTTTGGTCATAAAAGACAAATAGACTGAACAACTGTTCCAGATTAAAGTATCCTAAAGAGACATGATACCTGAATATGATGAGTTGTCCTAGAGTGTCGTTTGCCATAAAGAATATTATTGGGGTGGGGCACAGTGGCTCACGCCTGTAATCCCAGCACTTTCGGAGGCTGAGGATGGCAGATCACTTGAGGTTAGGGGTTTGAAACCAGCCTGGTCAACATGGTGACACCCCGTCTCTACTAAAAATACAAAAATCAGTTGGGCATGGTGGCAGTCACCTGTAATCCCAGCTACTCGGGAGGCTGAGGCAGGAGAATTGTTTGAATCCAGGAGGCAAAGGTTGCAGTGAGCTGAGATTGTGCCACTGCACTCCAGCCTGGGTGACGGAGACTCCGTCTCAAGACAAAAAAAAAAAAAAAAAAAAAAAGAATATTATTGGGAATTGAGACACTGAGCCAAAATTTTAATAATATCTATAAATTAGATAATAGTATTATACAATGTTAATAATTTCCTGACTTTGATAATTATGCTGTGATTATGTAAGAGAATATTCTTGTTTTTATGAAATAAAGTATTTAGGAGTAAAGGAGCATCGTATCAACTTACTCTTAAATGGTTTAGAAAAAAATGAACATATAGAGAGAGAAATGATGAAACTAGTACAGTAAAATGTTAACATTTGGAGGACCTGGGTAAAGAGTATATAGGAATTCTTTGTGTTATTGCAACTTTTCTTTAAGTCTGAAATTACACAAAAATAAAAAGTTTTGTTTTTGATTTTGTTTTTGTTTTGAGACGGAGTCTCGCTCTGTCATCCAGGCTGGAGTGCAGTGGCATAATCTCGGCTCCCTGCAACCTCTGCCTGCCGGGTTCAAGTGATTCTCCTGCCTCAGCCTCCCGAGTAGCTGGAATTACAGGCACCTGCCACCAAGCCCGGCTTATTTTTGTATTTTTAGTAGAGACGGAGTTTCATCATGTTGGCCAGTCTGGTGTCGATCTCCTGACCTCAAGTGATCTGCCGGCTTCAGCCTCCCAAAGAGCTGGGATTACAAGCATGAACGACTGCGCCCAGCCAAATAAAAAGTTTTTAAAAGAAATGAGGATCTTTACCTAACCATATCAGGAATAGTTTGGCTACAAGAAATGCAAAAACCAGTGGGGCGTGGTCATGCACACCAGCTACTTGGGAGGCTGAGGCAGAACAATTGCTTGAGCCCAGGAGTTCAAGGCTGTGGTGCACTATGATCGTGCCTGTGGATAGCCACTGCTCTCCAGCCTGGGCTACGTAGTAAGATCTATCAGAAAGAAAGAAAAAGGAAGGAAGAAAGGAAGGAGGAAGGGGAGAAAGGGAGGGGGGTGGGGGAGAGAGAGAGAAAGAGAAGGAAGGAAGGAAAGAAGAAAAGGAAAACTCAGCAGTTTAAACAAACAGGGTTACCTTTATTTTACATAATAAGTTTACAAGAAAACAGTTACAAGTTGATTTAGCTACTCAAAATGTGAACACTGATCGAGCTTGTTTTCTATCATTCTGAATATTGAATGTTTTTATGCTCTCTCTTTTCATGGTTGCAAGGTGGCTCCATTGCTCCAGGCATCATATTTGCATTCAAGATAGAAAGCAGAAAGGGGCTGGTTGCAGCTGGATATGTTCCTTTTTTTTGTTTTGTTTTGTTTTTTTTTGAGATGGAGCCTCATTCTGTCACCCAGGCTGGAGTGCAGTGGCGCGATCTCAGCTCACTGTAAGCTCCGCCTTCCGGGTTCATGCCATTCTCCTGCCTCAGCCTCCCGAATAGCTGGGACTACAGGCACCTGCCACCATGTCCGGCTAATTTTTTGTATTTTTTAGTAGAGACTGGGTTTCACCATGTTAGCCAGAATGGTCTCGATCTCCTGACCTTGTGATCTGCCTGCCTCAGCCTCCCAAAGTGCTGGGATTACAGGCGTGAGCCACCACGCCCGGCCGGATATGCTCCTTTTATCTGAAAACCAAAAGTTTCCTAGAAGCTTTCCAATGGGCTTTCCCCTAAGTCTCAATAACTATGCTGGTCACACTACCTACTCTGTGAGGTGAGGCTGAGAAGTGGTGTCTGTCTTTATGGTGGCTGCAACAGATTACAGGGAGTATTTGCATATCAAGAAGCTGATTATTTTCAATTTCAAAAGTACAGGCCATATTAGTTATTTAACCCAGTCTGTGATTCCATTCTTTTTTCTTTCTTTTTTTTTTTTTTTTTGAGACAGAGTATCACTCTGTTGCCCAGGCTGGAGTGCAGTGGCGTGATCTCCGCTCACTGCAACTTCTGCCTCCAGGGTTCAAACAATTCTCGTGCCTCAGCCTCCCAAGTAGCTCGGATTACAGGCGCCCACCACCTCGCCTGGCTAATTTTTGTATTTTTAGTAGAGATGGGGTTTCACCATGTTGGCCAGGCTGGTCTCAAACTCCTGACCTCAGTTGATCCACCCCTCTCAGCTTGGATTACAGGTGTGAGCCACTGCACCCATCCTCTATGATTCCTTTTTTTTTTTTTTTTTTTTTTGAGACGGAGTCTCGCTCTTGTTGCCCAGGTTGGAATGCAATGGCATGATCTGGGCTCACCACAACCTCTGCCTCCCAGGTTCAAGCGATTCTCCTGCCTCAGCCTCTGGAGTAGCTAGGATTACAGGCATGCACCACGACGGCTGGCTAATTTGTTTTATTTATTTTTAGTAGAGACAGAGTTTCTCCATGTTGGTCAGGCTGGTCTCAAACTCCCGACCTCAGTTGATCCACCCACCTTGGCCTCCCAAAGTGTTGAGATTATAGGTATGGGCCATCACGCCTGACTGATACCATTCTTAACAGCAGTATTTCCTAATGTTTGACCCATAGACCACCTATATCAGAATCATTTGTGATAAAGGCACAATCCTGTGCCCTAGATCAGTAAATCACGGTCTTTGGGTTTGGGAAGTAGGAATACAAAATTTAAACAAACACCTGTATTCCAACAAGGTCATAGACCAAGGTAAAAGGAAACACCTAGAAATGCGGATCCAACATAATGCTGGTTCCAACACAATAGAAATGCACAGTTGAGGCTGGGCGTGGTGGCTCACGCCTGTAATCCCAGCACTTTGGGAGGCTGAGGCAGGTGGATCACCTGAGGTCAGGAGTTTGAGACCAGCCTGGCCAACATGGTGAAACCCTGTCTCTACTAAAAAGCAAAACCTAGCTGGGCGTGGCGGTGGGTGCCTGTAATCCCCGCTACTTGGGAGGCTGAGGCAGGAGAATCACTTGAACTTGGGAGGCGGAGGTTGCATTGAGCTGAGATCACGCCACTGTACTCTAGCCTGGGTGACAAAAGTGAAACTCTGTCTCAAAAGAAAAAAAAACTGCATAGTTGAGTTCACAAGGAAACCCTCAAGTGACTGAAAATCAAATGGTAAATATATGGTTATCTATCCAACAACCCGGGAACTTTAGGTTTTTGCTTGTTTGCTCATTTTAAATGGACTAAAATCCATGCGTTGTCCAGATTTCCCTAGTTTTTACCTTTTTCTCTTCTAGGATCCCACTCAGGATACATTACATTTAGTCATCATGTCATCTTAGGCCCCTCTTTGCTGTGACAGTTGGAGTTCAGTTTTTGACACCCACTTGGTAAAAGGAGATGATGGACTTGCATGAGTCAGGGAGTTAGACCTGGAACCCAAGCCAGGACCCTCAAAAGGTTATACTCAAGGAAAATGTGTGTTTGGGGAGGCAATCCTCTATGGGCCTTGAGAATTCCTGGGCATTCTTGCTAGTTATCCACAAATGCAAAGCTCTGATCACACTTCACTGGGCCATTTATCAGAGTTGTGTTTGCAGTGAGCAACTTTGGGTAATGAGGTTATGTCTTCTTCTGGGACAAAAAGTAGGTTATTCCTCTCCCATAACAGAACAGAACCCATTGTATGTGTAGGCATCCATCTGTATCATTTCTGTGGGACTTGGTGGGCAAGAGGAATTGACACAAAAATGATCCTCATGCTACTTTGTAGTGAGTAATAAAGTCTTTGTCTCCGACCCAGGAATATCATGCCTCCTGCAGTCATCCATGAAAATAGGAACAGGTGTAGGCTAAGTGCTGTGGCTCACACCTATAATCCCAGCACTTTGGGAGGCTGAGAGGGGGCTGATTGCTTGAGCCCAGGAGTTCAAGACCAGCCTGGGTGACATGTGAAACCCCATCTCTACAAAAAGCTACAAAAATTAGCCAGGCATGGTGGTGTGCACCTCTAGTCCCAGCTACTTGGGAGGCTGAGGTGGAAGGATCAGTTGTGCCTGGGAGGTTGAGGCTGCAATGAGCCATCATTGTGCCACTGCACTTCAGCCTGGGTGATACAGCAAGAGACATAGCTATCTAAAAAAAAAAAAAAAAAGTAACAGGTAATGTATTAGTTTGTAAGTAGAGTAAAATTCCAGATCCGAAAAGGTAAAATCTATCCACTGGCAAAGTTAACATGGGAGCTTGACTGTCTCTGGCTGGGCTGTGGGAGGGAAAAAAATAAAAAGCCCTTTGAGAAATCAAAAATCTGCTGTGTATGGTGGCTCACACCTGTAATCTCAACACTTTGGGAAGCTGAGGTGGGGGGACTGCTTGAGCCCAGGAGTTCAAGACCAGCCTGGGCAGCATGGCACGATCCTGTCTTTACAAAAAATAAAAATAAATGAATTGAGAGTGGTGGTACATGTCTGTGCCCCCACCTACTTGGGAGGCTGAGGTGGGAGGATTGCTTGATCCCAGAAGGTTGAGGCTGCAGTGAGCCATGTTCACACCACTGCATTCCAGCCTGGGTGACAGACAGACTCCACCTTTTAAAAAAATGGGTTTTTAGGTATGAATTTATAGGATCCATGTAATAAAATTCCTTTGTCTAGTAACTGATATCCTGTGACTCACGAAACAGAAACAAAACTATACTTGAGTCATATTCCTACTACCCAGGATTCTCACAGGAAAAAAAATTTAAGCCCCCTTAAAGATAGAAGCATAGTTAAAAACATTAGAAAACAATCCACCAGAAGCAACAGCCAGCAGATACAACAAATAGGTTTAGAGCTCCCAAATCCTGAGATAATAGAACTAGATGCTGAGAGAAAATTATAAAAATTAGTATAACTAAAAGCATAAAAGAATTAAAAAATAAGAACAGAGAAGCATTCTAAATAAAAAGGAGGCGGATTTGAAAAGGAATTAAATAGAATTTTCAGATGGGAAAACAGTCTGTGAAGAAGAAAAAATGGTTAAATGTGAACCTGAACATGGTTCACTGCAACCTTGAACTCCTGGGCTCAATAATCCTCCATCCTCAGCCCCCGAGTAGCTGGCACTATAGACATGCACCACCACACTCAGCTAATTATGTTTATTTTTTATTTTGTAGAAATGGGGTCTTGCTAGGTCCAGGCTGGTTTCAAACTCCTGGCCTCAAGTGATCCTCCTGCCTCAGCGTCCCAAAGTGCTGAGATTATAGGCTTGAGCCACTGTGCCCGGCCTGCCTTGACTTTTAACTTCTGTCCAGGTAGGGGCTTTCCAGGGGCAGGCCTAGCCATGGCCCGCCACACAAGGATCAATGGTAATCAACAAAGCAGAACATAGCAAGCTGACACCAAAGTGCCTGAGAACCAAAGTGAAGGGGAAAAGCTAATAAGAAGCAAGCTGATTTCCACTCGAGAACTTCAGAAGGACCAGAGGCACCAAAAGAGGGGAGCGACAGGGCTGAAAGCACAAAGATTGATGGAAACTGTGCAAGGAACAGTTAGATGCCCAGATCCACTCCCCAACTGCTCAAAGCTAGGTGACTACTTCTCCTCTCCCTAACTGTACACAAGATGTGAACTCTGGGGCAATTGAGCCAGAAAGATTCTGCACTTAGGGTGAGACAGGGCAAAAGCTGGGATGGAGGTACCATCTGAAAACAGGGGGATTAAGAGAAAGTCTACACATCAAACACTGAGACCTGCAGCTTCTCTTTTCTCTCTTCCCATTTAGCTCCCAGAACACTAGCAGCCAGGCTTACATACCTGGACAGAAGAATGGACGATTCTTCAGGCAGAAGAAAATTGACCTGTCTGAGAGAAAAATAAACAGAAAAACCCACATATAAACAAAAGAAAACCCAGACCAAACCCTAGAGATACCGATATTTGGGGGACATACGGTGCAAATAGGGCTGGGCGCAGTGGCTCATGCCTGTAATCCCAGCACTTTGTGAGGCCAGAGCAGGCAGATCATGAGGTCAGGAGTTCAAGACCAGCCTGGCCAACATGGTGGAAACCCATCTCTACTAAAAATACAAAAATTAGCCGGGCATGGTGGCACGCGCCGGTGGTCCCAGCTGCTCGAGAGGCTGAGGCAGGAGAATCGCTTGAACCTGGGAGGTGGAGGTTGTGGTAAGCTGAGATCACGCCACTGCACTCCATCCTGGGTAACGGAGCGAGACTCCACCTCAAAAAAAAAAAAAAAAAAAAGCAAATAATTTAGAAATGTATAAAATAGAAGATAAAAGTTGCCCAGGAGTCCCTACGTTCCCAAAGGCAACTATTGTGAGCCACATCTTGATATGTTTATAACAATTTTTCTATTTAAGTATAATGGGTCCGAGTTAAGTTCCTGTAACAAAGGCTAAAATAACAGGGCTTTAAACAAAATTGATGCTTATCTCTCAGTCACGTAACAGTCCAGAGGCAGCCCAGAGCTAATATTGTGGTTCCCCAGTGCTGGGGACCCAGGCTACTTTGCTACCATTGTGCTGGCATTCTCAACACATAGTTTTCATCTCATGGTCTAAGATGGCTGCTCTGTCTGTCAGTCTTTAGAGATGGGGTCTTGCTCTGTCACCCAGGCTAGAATACAGCGGCACAATCATAACTCACTGCAGCCTCAAACTCCTAGGCTCAAACCATCATCATTGCACAAACAGCAAAGCAATGCATTCAAAGATCTAAATGGAAAGCATTTCCAGGGAGGCTCTCTTCTTAGCCAAACTAACAATCAAATAGGAGGGTAAAATAAAACCGTCTTCACCAAAACCAGCCTCCTGGGTAGCTGGGACTACAGGTATGTGCCACCACCCCTGGCTAATTTTTATTTTGTAAAGATGGGGTCTCTCTTTGTTGCCCAGGATGGTCCCGAACTCCTGGGCTCAAGTGATCCTCCTGCCTCAGTCTCCCAAAGTGCTGGGATTACAGGCGTGAGCCACTGTGCCCAGCTGCTGCTCCCAATCCTGTCACAATATCCACATGGCAGTCAGTGAGAAGACAGAAGAGAAAAAAGAAGGCCATTTTTTCTTTCATATAAGGACAGAATCCCAGAGTTGTCCATATTACTTCTGCTCACACCCCATTGGGCAGAACATAGTCGCATGACCATAGCTATTTGCAAGGGAGGATGGGAAATGTAGTCTTCAGCTGGCTTTAGTTGGGCCTAGATGTGCTCAGCTAAAGCTCAGGATTTCTTTTAAAAAAGGAAGAAGGGGCCGGGTGCAGTGGCTCACACCTGTAATCCCAGCACTTTGGGAGGCCGAAGCTGGTGGATCACCTGAGGTCAGAAGTTCGAGACCAGCCTGGCCAACATGGTGAAACCCCGTCTCTACTGAAAATACAAAAAATTGGCTGGGTGTGGTGGTGCACACCTGTAATCCCAGCTACTAGGGAGGCTGAGGAAGAAGAATCGCTTGAACTGAGGAGGCAGAGGTTGCAGTGAGCCAAGATCGTGCCACTGCACTCCAGCCTGGGTGACAGAGCAAGAATCCGTCTCAAAAAAAAAAAAGGAAGAAGGGGAGAATGAATATTGGGAGACAATCAGTGATCTTTGCTACAAAACAGAGCACACACACACACACACACACACACACACACACACATATATTTGAGATGGAGTCCTGCTCTGTCGCCCAGGTTGGAGTGCAGTGGCACAACCATGACTCATTGCAACCTCCTCCTCCAGGATTCAAGCGATTCTCCTGCCTCAGCTTCCTGAGTAGCTGGGACTACAGCTGCTCGCCACCAGGCCCGGCTAATTTTTGTATTTTTAATAGAGAGAGGGTTTTGTCACGTCGGCCAGGCTCGTCTTGAACTCCTGACCTCAAGTGATCCACCCACCTCGGCCTCCCAAAGTGCTGGGATTACAGGCATGAGCCACTGCACCTGGCCAGATACACATATATATTTTAAAATCTTTTATTTCCAGAAACAATCTATACATATTTAGTGTCTCTGACTAATGGAGAGTCAAAGATCACCAGAGGTTTGAGGAAAGCCTGCAGAGGAAGATCAAAATGAACAAACAAATAAAAATGAATTCAGACAAAACAAAAGGTGACAATGTAAAAAGTAGAAAAAAAGTAAAAACAGAAGTAACCTAAAATTAATATCACATCCATGAAATGAGTACAGAATGCTATTCAAAAAAGAAATTTTAGGGAAACACAGAGAGTTCTTATTAATCCTTTTTTTTTTTTTTTTTTGAGACAGGGTCTTGCTCTGTCACCCAGGCTGGAGTGCAGTGACAGAATTACAGCTCACTGCAACCTCAACCTCCCAGACTCAAGGGATCCTCCCACCTCAGACTCCTGAGTTGCTGTGACTACAGTCACATACCACCATGGCAGACTAACTTTTTTTTTTTTCCATAGAGATGAAGTCTCACTACCTTGCTCAGCCTTAATCTTTTCAATTGAAAGATAATGGTAGAGGCTGGGCACGGTGGCTTGCTCTTGTAATCCCAGCACTTCGGGAGGCCGAGGTGGGAGGATCACTTGAGGTCAGGAGTTCGAGATCAGCCTGGCCAGCATGGTGAAACCCTGTCTCTACTAAAAATACAAAAAAATTAGCTGGGCGTGGTAGCAGGCACCTGTAATCCCAGCTACTATGGAGGCTGAGGCAGGAGAATTGCTTGAACTCGGGAGGCAGAGGTTGCAGTGAGCTGAGATGGCACCATTGCACTACAGCCTGGGCGAGAAGAGTGAAACTCCATCTCAAAAAAAAAAAAAAAGATAATGGTAGAAATAAAAGTTTAACAGAAGGATTGGAAAATGAAGCTGAGAAAATATATCAGGAAATAGGAAAATAACAAAAGACAAGTAAATAGAAAATAGGAGACAAAAGATAAGAAAATTAGAAGAGCAATCTAGGAGGCCCATTAACTAACAAAAGTTCCAGAAAGATGCCAGGTGCTGTGACTCATGCCTGTAATCCCAGCACTTTCAGAGGCTGAGGAGGGTGAATCGCATGAGCCCAGGAGTTTGAGACCAGCCTGGGCAACATGGTGAAACCCTGTCTCCACTAAAAATACAAAAAAAGTTAGCCAGGCATGGTGGTGCGTGCCTGTAATCCCAGGTACTCAGGAGGCTGAGGCAGGAGAACCGCTTGAACCCAAGAGGCAGAGGTTGCAGTGAGCTGAGATTGCGCCACTGCACTCCAGCCTAGGTGACAGAGCAAGACTCCATCTCAAAAACAAAAAACAATAAACCAAAAAAAAAAAAACCAAAAACAAACAAACAAAAAAACAGGTCACCTACAAAGGAAAAGGAAACCGAATGTGAGTGGCCTTCTCAGTAGCAACACTGAAAGTGAGAAAACAGTGACCCAATGCATTCAAAGATCTAAATGAAAAGCATTTCCAGAGAAGCCCTACTCTTAGCCAAGCTAATAATCAAACAGGAGGGTAAAATAAAACCATCTTCACACACAGTCTCAGAGATTTTATCTTTCACGTACCCTTTTTCTCTCCAGGAAACTATTGGAGAATGTACTCCACCAAAGTGAAGGTGTACACATGGCAAGACGACAACCTGGGATCCGGGAAGCGGAGGTGAGAACACAGGAGGCGGAGGGAAGCTTGGGGTGATGGTGAGGGGGACTGCACCACAGCAGTGCTGCAGGCTGGGGAACAGCCCAGGATGCAGCCAGAGGGCACAGCGCTCCAGAAAAGAAGCTTCCCCCAAAACCAGTCATTCATAGATTCAGTCATATGTTTCATAGCTCTGTCGGAGTTTGGGAAAGGATGAATAATGGCTTGAGAGAAATCTAAGCAAATCAATAACAGAGGCAATTTTTAACTCCAAAAAGAAATTTGTACCAAAATAGAACTATGCTACACTATGTGAACGCTTAATATTGCCAAGCACAGTGGCTCATACCTGTAATCCCAGCACTTTGGGAGGCCGAGGCGGGAGGATCCCTTGAGCCCAGGGGTTCGAGACCAGCCTGGGCAACATGGTAAGACTTCATCACTACAAAAACTGAAGAAACTTAGCCAGGTGTGGTGGTGCGTGCCTGTAGTCCCAGCTACTTAGGAGGCTGAGGTGGGAGGATTGCTTGAGCCCAGAAGGTCGGAGCTGCAGTGAGCCAAGATCATGCCACTGTACTACAGCCTGGGTGACAGAGTGAGACCCTGTCTCAAAATAATAACAATAATAATTTAAAAACCACTTAATATTGATTTACCAAGAATGATCACATAACTACATTGAAAGAATGAGGTCAGGGAAAATTATATTTTTGTTGGGGCATAAAATGGCCAAATCATCATTTTCTATGGTAGAAAATGAACAGTTAACTATCTAAAATTTTAAAATATCATAAAACAGCAGGATTAACTTCATTTAAAGTAGGACTTGGGGGCCATGTATGGTGGCTCATCCCTGTAATCCCAGCACTTTGGGAGGCTGAGTTTGGGGGATCACTTGAGCCCAGGAATTCAAGACTAGCCTGAGCAACATAGGAAGACCTTGTCTCTACTAAAATTAAAAAAAAAAAACAACAAGCCAGGGATGGTGCCACGCACCTGTAGTCCCAGCTACTGAGGAGGCGCTGAGGTGAGAGTGTCTGAGGCTGCAGTGAGCCCTGATCTTTCCATTCACTGCACTCCAGCCTGGGTAACAGAGCAAGAGACCCTGTCTCAAAAAAAAAAAAAAAAAAAAAAAAAGGACTTGAGAAATCTTTTTACGATTGTAAGCCTATAAATTTCACTTCTTAAATAATTCACATTTTTTGATTAGAAAATTATCCCAGCTTCTCAGGAAACTGAGGCAGGAGGATGGCTTGAGCCCACGAGTTCAGGTCCAGCCTGGGCAACACAGTGAGACCCTGTCTCTAAAAAAAAAAAACCAAATGTAATATGATTAAGTTAATCAAATAAGAACAGAAGTAGAATGAATATACTCCAAATCAGATTCCAGAAACATGGAACCAGAGTGCAGCTATGACAGGTGCCTATGCTGGTGAATTGGTGGACAGATAATGGTAGATTTAGCTTAATACTCATCTCATCTCTATATATATATATATATATTTGTTTTTGTGAGACGGAGTCTCCCTCTGTCACCCAGGCTGGAGTGCAGTGGCGCGATCTCGGCTCACTGCAAGCTCCGCCTCTCGGGCTCACGCCATTCTCCTGCCTCTGCCTCCCGAGTAGCTGGGACTACAGGTGCCCGCCACCACCACGCCCCGCTAATTTTTTTTGTATTTTTAGTAGAGACGGGGTTTCACCGTGTTAGCCAGGATGGTCTCGATCTCCTGACCTCATGATCTGCCCGCCTTGGCCTCCCAAAGTGCTGGGATTACAGGCACGACCACCGCACCCAGCCTTTCATCTCAATATCTTTCTACAGTCCTCCCTACATTGCACAAGCTGAAAGGTCGAATCTACATTTCCTAGATGACCTTGTGGCAGGGATTTTGGACACAATTTTGGTTTTTCCAATCATTTCCTCTCATGAGATGTATAAGGTGGAGGTGAAGTGAAGTCTGTGTGTGCTATTTATGCTGGGGAGTGCTGTGGTGGAGGTGTTTGATTTTTTTTTTTTTTTTTTGAGACGGAGTCTCGCTTCGTCGCCCAGGCTGGAGTGCAGTCGGGTGATCTTGGCTCACAGCAACCTCTGCTCCTGGGTTCAAGCAATTCTCCTGTCTCAGCCTCCTGAGTAGCTGGGACTATAGGCGCCTGCCACCACGCCCTGCTAATTTTTATATTTTTAGTAGAGACCGGGTTTCACCTTGTTGGTCAGACTGGTCTCAAACTCCTGACCTCAGGTGATCCACCCACACCTCGGCCTCCCAAAGTGCTGGGATTACAGGTGTGAGCCACTGAGCCTGGCCTTTTTTTTTTTTTTTTTTTTTTTTTTTGAGACGGAGTCTCCCTCTGTGGCCCAGGCTGGAGTGCAGTGGTGTGATCTTGGCTGACTGCAACCTCCCCCTCCTGGATTTAAGCAATTCTCCTGCCTCAGCCTCCTGAGTAGCTGGGACTACAGGCACATGCCACCACACCTGGCTAATTTTTGTATTTTTAGTAGAGACAGGGTTTCACCATATTGGTCAGGGTGGTCTCAAACTCCTGACCTCAGGCGATCTGCCCGCCTTGGCCTCCCAAAATGCTGGGATTACAGGCGTGAGCCACTGCACCTGGCCGATGCTTGATATTTCTGCAGTGGCTTCTCATCATGATGATACCTGTATGGTTCAAGAGCTGGTAAGTGTAGAGACAGCTTTCCAATTTAGTAGATGGCTTCCTGATTTCAAAAGAGGCAGTGTCTCCTTTGGTGGCTCAGTATTGCAGCATAGCTCTCAAAGTCATTCCTCAAAGTTCAACCTGGAGTCGGTTGCTTCAGCCCTCCAAACAAGTCTGGAAGTCATTTTATACCCTGTAATATATTCTTTTGTACTTAAACCATCTAGAATGGTTCTGTTCTCTGAAACTTGACCCAAACAATGTAACAGAAAAGCAGAAATAAAATGTAAAGAAAAATGCTAGGCGCGGTGGCTCACGCCTGCAATCCCAGCATTTTGGGAAGCCGAGACAGGTGGATCACCTGTGATCAGCAGTTTGAGACCAGCCTGACCAACATGGTGAAACCTCGTCTCTACAAAAAATACAAAAAATTAGCCTGCGTGGTGGCGTGTACCTGTAATCCCAGCTACTCAGGAGGCTGAGGCAGGAGAATAGCTTGAACCCAGGAGGCAGAGATTGCAGTGAGCCGAGATTGCACCACTGCACTCCAGCCTGGGCGACAGAGCGCGACTCTGTCTTAAAAAAAAAAAAAAAAACTAGCCGGGCATGGTGGCGCAAGCCTGTAATCCCAGTTACTCGGGAGGCTGAGGCACAAGAATCACTTGAACTCAAGAGGCAGAGTTTGCAGTGAGCTGAGATCAGGCCACTGCACTCCAGCCTGGGTAACAGAGCAAGACTCCGTCTCAAAAACAAACCAACAACAAAAAAAAAGCATGGTAAATAACACAAAATACAACAGAAAAAAAAATCCAATTATAATTAATAAAAATAGCTAAATTCTAGCTAACAGAGATATATTTTCAGAATACATTTTCTAAAAAGTCCAGTTATAGGCTATGTCTGAGAGACAGGTGAAAAACATAATGGAATATTATCATATAAATGAATTGACACAAATATATCTCGAAAACATAATGGAGAATGAAAAAAGATGCAAAATGATTATTCAGTATGGTGTCATTTTTGTAAAGTTTAAAAACAAAATTAGGTATTCCATATAGCATTGCTGGATCTCTACATCATATGTAATAAAAGTATAAAAACACAAACTGGAATGATATGTACCAACTTGAGCACGGTGACTATCTGTGGGGCGGAAGAAGAAATGAGAGTGGGGCCGTCGTTATGACTAATTTTGTATGTCTTTAATAAATCCCAAGTACATGCAGCAAAATGTATTGATGTCTGTTTAATCTTGATAGTGGGGGGCGTGGGTAGTATTAATATTATTTTCCGTACTCTTCCGTAGGCCTCTAATATTTCCCTCTTTACAGAACACTGACACACGCTCAGGGCTCCCCGGGACATCTTTGTGCACATCAACATTTATGCTGAGAGTAGCTTCTGGACTCCAAAGAGGAAACTCCCCGGGCACTGTGGCCCACGCCTGTTATCCCAGCACTTTGGGAGGCTGAGGTGGGCAGATCGCTTGAGCCCAGGCGTTCGAGACCAGCCTGGGCAAAATAGCGAGACCCACCCCCGCCCCCCATTGCTACAAAAACATTTACAAACTAGCCGGGCGTGGTGACCCCCGCCTGTGGTCCCAGCTGGTCGGGAGGCTGAGGTGGGAGGATCTTTTGAGCCCGGGAGGTCAAGGCCGCGGTGAGTCGAGATCGCACCACTACACTCCAGACCGGGCGACAGAGAAAGACATCCATTCACTCCCCCAAAAGAAGGGGAAATTCGCTGAGGCTGAGCGCTGGTTTCCCAAGGTGGGGCTGGCACCTGCTGAAGCTGCCACAGGAGTGGAGAGGCCGTAGGGAGACTTGGAAAGAACCTGGAAAGGGGGCCGGGGCTATGGAGCCAAGGCTGCAGCAGGGCTGGATGGTGTTTGTAGTTTGTGCAGAATAGGAGGCAGTTTTTAAAGCCGAGATACAGCTCTGGTTGACTGGAGCGGGGAGGGGTGGGTGTGAGAGGTCAGGAAACCAGCGGCTGGAGGCCGGGGGCCTGGAGCGGCAGGGCTGGCGGGCAGACGTTAGGCCCCAGGCAAAATGGGCGCACCCCCTGCGGGGGCCCGAGGTGACCTGCTCGAGGTCCGGTCGCCCAGGTTCCACCTGGAGAAGAAAATCTTCGTAATTTGGCTGGGGGAGGGGGGATGCGGGCACAGGCTGTGTTCTCCACGTCGCGTAGACGCAGAGGCCATCCCTGGGTCGGAGAGTCTCCGTGGAGTGGCACCCCAGCGTTCCCCGTACGCCGGGGCCACTTTGTCGGGCTGACGGGGGTCCCTCCAGGTGGCCGCCGGCGGCGGGTCCCGAGCCAGACCGGGAAGCGGGGAGCAGCCCTCAGCCCGCGAGCGTGGGGCCGGGGCAGACTGGAGGCCGGGCGGGCCCCGCCGAGGGTGGGGCGGGGCCGGGCGCACGGGGGCGGACCTCGGCGCGCTCCCGGCCGCTCGCTGGCTCCGGGGCCGCGGCGGCTCCTCTGCCGGGTCGCGCCGGACGACTGGCTTCGGGCGGCGGCCCCGGCGGCCTGTGGACGGACGGGTGGGCCGAGGTACAGGCCCCACGGCCGCCGTCTCCCGCTTCTGCCCGCGCAGAGTCCGCGCCATGGCCGCCTCGCCGGGCTCGGGCAGCGCCAACCCGCGGAAGTTCAGTGAGAAGATCGCGCTGCACACGCAGAGACAGGCCGAGGAGACGCGGGCCTTCGAGCAGCTCATGACCGACCTCACCCTGTCGCGGGTGAGGGCCCGGGCCGGCGCGGGCGGGGGCGGCCACGGCCGCGGGCGGGACCCGCGCGGCGGGTGAGAGGTTGCGGGGCCAAGGCGATGGCGGGGCCGGGCGGGGGCCGCGCCCGGGAACCGGCGGCTGGGAGGGGGACCGGAGCGGCCGCGGCCTCGGCGTTTCCCCGCCTGGCGACACCCGCTAGCCGTTCGCGATCCCGGGCTGAGGTGGGAGGGTCGCCCGGCCCCGTGTGCGGGAAGATGGGCAGGGGTGAAGCCCGTGGAGGCGGGCGGCCGTGCGAGGGCGGCCTGAGGGGGAGGAGGACGAGGAGCCCCGAGAGGAAATCGCAAACAGCTCGGAGGCCGGCCGGGTGGCGCGGCGCGGCTTCTGGTCGCTCCGAACATCCCCCACCATCGAGCCCTGCTGTTCTGCCGGCGTGGAAGGCCGCGGGCACCCCAGGGTCCCACGCGCTCGTGGGGGGAGCTCTGTGCACAAGTCCATCCAGGGCCCGGCCCTGGGGTGGCTCGGGTTGTTGGAACCACGACGGGATTCCGTGTCGAGTGTGAGGCTCTGCTCCTTTTACTCCTTGGAGGTGCTTTATCGGGTCCAGTTTACTTTGTTCGGCCCGGGATATTTAGTGAGAACTGACAAGCGTCGCTGGTGACTGGAGAGGGACCTGGAGGAATGAGTAAGGCGCGAGCCGGGACAAACACCTGGAGAGGTTAGGTAACCGCTGAGTGAGGCAGTGGAGGATGGAGAGCCAACCGGAGTGTCCGCGCAGGGTTGCAGAGAAGGGGGGTCAGCAGGAGTGGGGCTGGCCTTGAGGATCCTGAATGCTGACCTTGGAGGACCATCGGGAGGATGGGGGAGGATCTGCAGATTCTGGGGGACTGAGGCGGGGGAGACAGTTTGAAGGAGAGCTGAGAGCAGAGTTGCAAACCAGCTGAGTTGCAGACACATTATTTTTTGGCCAGCGCAGTGTTTGGGAAAAATTATTGAATCTGTTGCCAGAATTTTTAAATTGGAAGACTTCCACACAAAATCCAAATTTCCGTATTATTTATTTATTATTATTTATATATGTTAAAAATTGGGAGACCTGGTAACACTAATTCTGAATTCCTACATGACAGCTACCGACCTGCTGGAGCTGGGTGATGATGAAAGGGAGCTGAGCTGAGCTCCCTTTCAAATGGAGTAAGAACTCTAGTTTGCCACCGTCCACTCTCTGTCACAGTCCCCCAAGGGGAGATTAGGTGACAGTTGCCATTTATACTCATGATGGTGTTTTCTTTCAGTGAAGTTAAGGAAAAAGTGAAATATTTCCTGTACTTACATTTCTGTTCACATTGAGAAAAAATATATATATAGAGAGAAAGAAGCTGAAGATTTCAAGAAAATGTTTTCTTATACCCTATCAGCTTCACTCATTTTTTACCTGCCTGGCATCCACTGGCATTTACATCTGTGACCTTGGTTAGATTCAGAGATGAACTCGATAAGCTCAGAGCACGTTGAAAAGAATGGGTGGGTGAAAGCTGAGGATTAGTGTTGGGGCCTGTGTTGTTATGTGTTTTTAAATACATACTGTACATTGTTTATGTACAAATACATGCACTGTATATGTCTGTATACCTATGGCGGATCCAATCTTTCACCCAATTCATGAATCTTCTTTAAAATATCCCTGACAGGTGAGGCCATGAGTAATGTACAGACTCTCTTTTAAAAGCAAAAATTTTTCACAGATCCTCACTGTTTACTTACTTTCAAGTAAAAAAAAAGTGTTTACTTACTTTAGAGACCCTGCTATAGCTCAGGGTCTCTTGAATTTAGCAAGCCTAATCAACTGTGGCCCATATGATAATTCAGTCACCACTTTATTCTAATTACTACAAAATTATGGTGTCATTTTGCCCTTCACCTGGTACAGGGAATCATTTACATATTAATTCTGCCCGTGTTTTCTTCTTGGCCAGTTACCAGTAAAGTAACACTGCTT